>NC_000012.12:68217703-68369218 GCF_000001405.40 Homo sapiens | reverse complement strand
CTCCACCCCTGCATCAAAGATATGTAGAAAGAGCGGGAGGGGCGTGGTGGCTCACGCCTGTAATCCCAGCACTTTGGGAGGCCGAGGCGGGCTGATCACCTGAGGTTGGGAGTTCGAGACCAGCCTGACCGACATGGAGAAACCCCGTCTCTACTAAAAATACAAAATTAGCCGGACGTGGTGGCTCATGCCTGTAATCCCAGCTACTCGGGAGACTGAGGGAGGAGAATCACTTGAACCTGGGAGGCAGAGGTTGCGGTGAGCCGAGATTGCACCATTGCACTCCAGTCTGGGCAACAACAGCGAAACTCCATCTCAAAAATAAATAAATAAATAAACATTAAAATAGAAAATATGTAGAAAGAGTTTGGATCAGGATTAGTCTTACTGTAATATCAGAAAAATTCACTGGTCAAAGGATGGCTCTCTCACTTGCATATCCACCAAAGAGACAGAGTATTTTATTACAAAAAAGGCATAAAGGTGAGAAAATAATATAAAGGATCCAACCTTTGGGGGTATCTGAAGAGGGGAGGCAGAGAATGCCTTAGGGGGGTGGGGAGCAGGTGGAGCAATCAATGGGAGGGTGAGGTGTATGTGTGAGGGGAAGGAAGTCAAAGCAGGGACTGAAGAGAAGACAAACTTCTCCAATTGCTGATGTTGCCACGTGGTCCTGTATGTTACAGAAAGGAATCTTCCTGACAGTCTTTTCTGTTTGAGAGCACCACACCCATTCCTTTGGGAATATGAGTTTTCTCCACTTATTTCCTGCCCTAGGAGTTTCATGAATTGGCTTGCCAAGGACAGGGGTCAAACTATCTCTGACAGCAATTAATTGCTTAGTGGCTTATGGAGTAAGCGGCTTACTTCAGGCAGATGGGACAGCAGTGGAAATTTGAATTCTGCTTCATGGCGGTCATGTGGATACTTCATTTTTCTTGGGCATTGAACCTGTGTACAACCGCAGAGAAGGGAACAGCAAAGGGTGAAAAGATGCTAAAGCCAATTGAGCAATCTGTTCTTTGCAGGCTTGGGAGTCCTTAAAAAAAGCTACTTCAGAATAGGTCAAATGGAGGGGTGGCAGGCAGTTCATGGTTGCTATGGTGACCAACAAACATGTTTGGCTTCTAGAGGTCCTGCCCCTGAAGAGGATGATGGCTTTTGTTATGAAATTTGTGAATGTCCCTTCATCTGTGTCTTCACTATTTATTTTCAAAGTTGTCAATAGTAACGGACTATGCATCACTTGTGGCCCATCTCTGTCCAGGTTTGGTGCTATCCTTGGCCCCTACATTTACCTCTGCTGGGATGTGAGGTTCTGACCTCTTTCAGAGCCTGCAGAGGTTTATGGGAACCACAGAAAAGCACAGGGGAGTGTGGCCATGAGGAGACCAGGGCTCTGCTGTGTGACTTTAACTGTTGTGGCCCTCAATTCTATTAAAAGGGGGGTAAAAATATCTGCTCTTATTAGGAAAAATGGCTAATGCATGCTGGGCTTAATACCTAGGTAATGGGTTGATAGGTGCAGCCAACCACCATTGTACACATTTACCTATGTAACAAACCTGCACATCCTGCACATGTACCCCAGATCTTAAAGTAAAAATAAAAATTAAAAAAATACCTGCTCTTCCTACCTTCTGAGGTTTTGTGAAGGTATATGAGATTTTAGATGTAAAAGTAACTTGAAAATATTGAGTGCATTATATTCTTTTATAAAGGAGCATAAAAATTTAACTCCACAATCCTGAGATAGAATGCTTATTACAGATGGTAAATATGTAAGTGTCAACCCTAATTGAATGATAGTGGCTGTCTCTGTGTTGAGAAGGATATGAGGCTGCATCCAGGCTCAGCTGGCAATGGTGCCAGTCATTTAGTGATGTCAGTTATGTGTATACGAGGCAGAAGTGGCATCACAAGTGCCATGTATTTGCTGTCTTGGTTTAGGACATTCTTCCTTGCTTCTTGCTGCTGCCTTTGGAGGTTGGGAACTCATTACTGCTCTGTAGCTTGCTTGGTATTGGTTTGTCAGGGCTGATTCATGGAAGCTAAACTCCTACCCTGTCAACCTGAAACCTGTAATTTTGTTTTTTCAAAACAACATTTTGATTTCTTACTGGTAAAAGTGAAATGTGTTTATTGTTAGAAATGTGACAAATAGTAGAGAAGCAGACAGAATAAAATAAGAACAGCCCATAATCTCATCATTCCTGGATAACTTTTAACATTTTGTTTATAGGTTTCATGCCTTCTGATGTAATTTATTTTATAAAAGGATCATTAGTTGCTTTATGGAGAACAGATTGTAGGCGGGCAGTGTGAATTCAGGGAGACTAACGGGGAGGCTCTCATAGAAGTCTGGGGGAGAGATGCTGGTGGCAGAGGAGTGGGCAGTGCTGATGAGGAGAGGGGCTGGATTTGGTGCATATTTTGAACATAGAGACAACAGGACTTGCTACTAATGGGTTGGATGTAAGGTATGAGAGAAGAAGGAAGGCATCAAGCATATGATGCCCTGGTTTCTAGTCCCATCTCTTGTGAAATGATGATCCATTTACTGAGATGGGAAACAATGAGACGGAAGCAGGTGTGTGTGTGTGTGTGAGGGGGAGGAGACAGCAATGGAAATCAAAAGTTCCATTTTGGATATAAGAAGGCCAAGTAAGAATTTCACACCTGAGTGAGGATTTCTAGTCGGGAGCTTAGGGGAAGAGGACAGGCAGGGAGATTTTATCTGGCGGATTATCAGCATAGAGAGGATGTAGGGGAGATGGTCTCAGGAGTGACATGTAGATGGCCAGGAGGTCTGAGGACAGAGGTTGAGCCCTCTAATATGGATTGGTTGGGAAGAGGAGAAGGATGCAATATGGGAGAACAAAGGAGCAGCCAGTGGACTAGGAAGAAAACTAGGAAAGAATGCAGTGATTGGAAACCAAGGGCAGAGGGTAGTTCAAGAGAAAGGAAGTGCTCCTTCTCTCTATGTACACAGAAACACTCACATGCATAGATACATATGCACACACATATTTTTATGTGAGACTATGCCCATTTTTATATAAATGTAGGGCTTTTCATTTATTATGGTGACTTTTTTATCCCCTTAAAAACCTTCCAAAAGATTATTTTGAATGGCTTTAAAGTAGTCTATACTTGTAGCTGTAACCTTAGAAGGAACAACCTTGTATATACATTTTATGTTTCTTTAAATTCTTGAAGTGGAATTACTGTGGATATGAAAACCTTTAAGGCTTTTGATATCTGTTGTCAAATTGCCTTTCAGAGAGGTTGTACCAAGGTTGTACACTCCACCAGCAGTCAACTGAAACCAAGCATTTGGCAAGCATTATTAGCATTAAAATTATATATATATGTGTGTGTGTATATATATATATAAAATTTTTAAATATATGTATAAAGATAATTGCACACACACATAAACACATATATATGGATATATATGTGTCTATATATGCCTGTGTATGTATATGTGTGTGTGCAATGCTATCTAGTTTTCTCCACTTGCATGACTTGGTTACTGGAGGTTGAACAAGTTTCAACATAAGGCTTCTTGTGTGCGGTCTGAGTGGTGAGCAAGTTGATCTGGCACCCACACCCCCTTAAGTATGAAAAAAATGAGTGTAAACATCCCCCAAGTCAGCCATTCAGGGCATGAGGGCTGCGGAGGAGGAGGAAAGCTGGTTCTGAGCTAGTTTCTCGGTGGGGGTGGAGTAGATCTTTGTCAGCAGTGAAGGAGCCGGTGTGGTTCCCACAGCTTGCAGTGCCTCCTCCCTTCCCGGCCAGACTTCCTGTGGGCCCAGCCTGGGAAAGGGCGTGGTCACCAAGAGGCAGAAGCAGCCCTCCTCAGCTGCACCAGCCCCGATGTGTTAGGTGGTGAAGTCTCTGTTGCCCTGTGAACCGCAGCCCACGTTGCCCAATTCAGCAACAAACACGAGCCATGGGGCCCAGGCCGACTGCCCCACATACAGTGTCCTTTCCTGCCTGGGTGGAGCCTTCTCGGTCTGAGAGGCCGGTCCTCTGCAGAGAGACCTTCGGAATCCTCCCTACGGCCTGGCTGGGCCTCTGTCCAGCTGAAGCGGAAAGACCCGGTGTGCTGTGAAACTGCAGCAGGGCAGCATCCGTCTGTTGGTCTGCGGCGTCGCAAAGGGCGATTGCACCACGTTGTTAGGCTGTGGATGTGGAAATCGACAATACTGAGGCGATAGAAATCTTAAAAGAATGTATGGGACATAAAGATAAGCCAAAAATGGGGATTGTGGCAATCTTGTGTGTAACATTTCTCATTTCATAACTGTGCCAGTCGCAATGTAACTCAAAGGAAAAAAGAAAGCACCACAACCCTTTGCTTTCTGGGTAGCACAGACACCTGTAATATTTTCTATGGTCGCCAAGGACGAATTCCTGACAGAGTGCAATTAGCACAGGTTCAGAGGCCTCAAGTCCAAAGGAAAGGATTCTGTGAGAAGTTAAAACTGCAAGATGAAAAATTTTCAGTAGAAATGGCGCTGATATTGAGTTTCTTCAGATGTTTTTCTTTTTGTATTTATAAAATATTTCCATTGTAAAGCATTCAATTAATGAAGAATGGTGTAAAGTAAAAGCTAGTCTTCTCTCAAGTCCCTCAAACCTCACTCCCACTTGCTAACAGTTTGGTACGTGTTTTCCAGTGCTTTTATTATGCAATTATGAACATTTATATGAGTATAGTACATAGCTCATGTATAGTCCGTTTATCAAGCTGCTAGCATGCAGTTAGTGTTCAATAATATATACCCACACATACAATTTAAAAACTGAAAATGAGATTATACTATGCAAATTCTGCAACTTGTTTTAAGTTTTATTTAAATGCAATTTCTCTTTGTCTTTTTGGCAGGTAGTTTAGTTTCATCTTTGCTTTATAAAGACAAAAAATCAAAAACTTTTTCCAGCCAAGGACTACCAGGTAGATGAATTTATTCGACTATTATTTGTTGCATGCCAAAGATGCATCAGGCATTGCTCAAGGAGCTGGGAATGAGTGAAATAACAATCCTCACCCTCATGGAACTGACATTTTGGTAGAGGGAAGCAGGCAATAAACATGTTTAATAAGTGGATTGTCAGATGTTGATAGCAGAGCAGATAGCAGAGCATGTTGGGGATGGTTAGGGAAGGTCTCCCTGAAAAAGTGACACTTGAGCCAAGGTCTAGAGATGGAAAGGGTAATGCCACAGGGATATCTGAGGAAGGGCGTGTCAGGGAAAACAAACAGAATGTACAAGAGCCCTGAGGAGGGAGATAGATGACTTCCTCAGAAACAGTAAACAGGCAATGTGGCTGGGTAATGGTGAGAGAAGGGAGGACAGATGGGGTGGTTGGAAAGGACCGGTGGGGCCTTGCAGGGGATTTGGAGGTCCTGGGCTTTTACTCTGAGGGGGATAGCCTGTTCCTGGGGGCATGGAGCAGAGCAGCCTCATGATGTGATGCATGTTATCACATGAGCACCCCGGCTGCTGTGGAGAGTAGACTCTCTCAGGCAAGGGCAGAGGTAGGGATGCCAACTGGGAGGCCACGGTGGCGATGAAGCAGGGGAGTGACAGTGAACATTGGGATGGGGTGTTGGCAGTACAGGTGGGGACGCTGTTGGATTCTGGGTACACTTACAAGGTAGAGACAACAGGATTTGCTGATGGATCAGATGTGGGATATGAGACAAAGTGCAAAGCCGAAGATGACTATGAGGACCTAGTAACGCATGGAGTGTTCCTAATGAGAACTTTATTCATTAGTCAAGGCAAGAAACAAACAACACGAGAGTATGGATGACAACAGACATCAGAACATGGAGATCTGGAGGGCCATTATAGACCCTCTTTTCCTCTCTTTTTGCCTCCACAATATCATGTGCTATGCCACATGTGTGTCTCCTCCATATCAGCACCTCTCAGTCCTCACCCTGAGAAACCCCTAATGGGAGAGGAGTACAAACTATGAATCCCAGCCGTCTGGGCCAGAGCTCATGGGGCCCATTACAAGCATGGCATTACATTAATACCTTGTACTAACAAAATCCATGTTAATGCTGGATTCTACTCCAAAATATCTATATGTTCATTTTAATATATTCATTACCTATAATTAAGTAAAATTGTTGGTCTTGTATGATGGGCCACTGACATACACCAAGAATCCCTGAGAAGATATAAGGCTTGGAGATGTTTGGCCCATGCCTTTCCTATTGTATGTGCAGGAATACTGCCTCCCAAGAAGAGCCCACTTATTCATGGGTTGGCTGGTCCCTAAAGCACCTCTGCACTTCCAGGACCATGCTGTATACCTGTACTGAGATGAGCAGGTAACCAGATCAGGCACAACACAGAATGGTCGTCTCACCAGCTTGGGCTCTTCCATCTCTACACTGTAGTACAGGCACTTTCTTACAGATGGAAATAGATTTTTCTTCCTTCCTTTTACCTTATAACATTCTACTCATCCTTGGGTTTTTAACCTGTTTAAAAGCTTTTCTCAAATTTCACATCCTGTTCATGATGCCTTATGCTACCATTCAAAGTGATAACTTGTTTCAATTAATCCTTAGAGCACTTATTTTCTACGGGGATCGTGGTATATATTGGGAAGACAAAGCTTGAGTCAGAAGAGCAGGGCCTTGGAATCAGGCTTACTTTAATTTAAACGCAAGCCCTGCCATGATCATCTGTGTGATTTTAGGCAACTTTCTTCACCTCCAAGTCTATAAAATGGAATTCAAAGTGGAACTGGAAGGATGATTAAGTGAAATGGACATGTGAAGCACCTAGCACAGTGCACAGCCATTTGATAAATATTATTGCCTCTTCCCCCTTAACCTCTTAATTTGGTACTTTTAGTATTCTACTTGTATGGTTCCATGTTTTGAATTTTTATGTGTTTTAGTTCTCTAACTAGACAATAAACTCTTAGAGTTTAGAAACCACATTTTATATTTCTTGACATCCCTGAAACATCCATCACAGTACCTTGAATGTGGGAGATGATTTATAAATGTTTGCTGATTGATTTATGGATTTTTTTTTGGCAAGTTTAAACCTGAAGGACATACTACTCTCTGGAGTTGAGAACATAGCAATGAGCCTCAAAGAAGAAAATGAGCCTCAGTGTTCATGGAGGAAGGTCATTGCTTAGCACCTTGGGAAGACATGCAGCTGATGGATGAGGAGGATGCTGGATGGCTATGCTGAGTTGGCTTTAGACTCTGCTCACCAGCTTTGGAAATGGTTACCCAGAAAGATGACAATATCCTGATAACCCCTCCATGACCAAATTCTTTAGCAAAGCATTTCAACAGGCCATCACCGTGGCATGTGGACTGATGGGTTGCACAGCTGTTATTATGTGCTTACAAGGGAAATTAGGAGTAATTAATGGACTGGGATCAATAACAGTATTATATTGTAGTGAATGATTTAATTTTCTAAGTGAAGAGGTAAGCACAGATATTTCACATCATTAAAATAGATGTGAATCAGCATAGCAGGTTTGAAGAAACTACTCCATTTTTTGTTGTATATAAAAGTTTAAATTTTTAACTTCTATTTACTTTTTGAAAAGGTAACGCATGCATAAGGTAACTTGAACAGTTCAAAGTAGTATTAAATAATTGCTCCCCAGAGACAATCACTATTGCTAGTGTATTGAGTGTTCTTCCAGAGGTGCCCTATGTATTTGTGTGTGTGTGTCCCTTAGCTGGAAGTAGTTTCGAGAATCCAAGAACTTCCTGTTGGTCTGCTATATCTGTTTGGTTCATCCGTATATCTCTGGTTGTTACCCCAGAGACCAGACCATACAGCCCAAAATTTATGGTCAATAATTATATATTGATTGAGTAGATCTATTTTAGTCAGTGACTGATTTAATCTGTTTTAGCAGTTTTTAGAAAATGATCGGCATTTGCTTGATACATCTTTATTGTGAATTAACAAGACATATAATTTGACATGTCTAGATAATAGAGCATCTTCATGAATTCTAATGTATTGGTACAATAATTTTAAACCACTGGTACAGAAGCTGCCTCTCTGAATATTCTTCACTGACTGGAGGGAACTCTTTGGAAAATATGTGCCATCTGAGTTTAAATAAGAATGGGTTAAGAAACAAAAAAACAAGATTAAAAATATGTCAGAATACACATGCAAATTGGTGCAGTTATTGAAAGTTGCTAGTTGGGAGGCTACATATTTTAAAAATTGCCTCCTTAGGTTTACAAGCCACATATTACTGTGGCTGCTGCCACTTCTACTATTATTGCTGTTGCCACTACTAACATTATTACTATTTATTTGGCATTTGCCCCTATACAGTACCGTGTATACTTACTTACCACGTATACTTACAGTACCATGTAAGTATTTTGTATGCATTATGTCATTTAATCTCGTAGCAACATTATCAGGTAGGTATTATTATCATTTGCATTTTATAGATGAGAGAACCGAGGCAAATAATGATTTCATAACTTGCTTATGTTCACAGAGCTAATAAAATGGTGGAAGAAGGATTGTGGCCCAGTGTGATACTAGAGCACATACTTCTGAGTCGTGCTTCAGTTTTGACCAAAAATGGAACATTCTTATTGATCATCCTTTCTGTTTGCCAAATTTAGCTCCAAATGACTTTTTCAAAATTTTATATTTTTTATTGAGATGGGGTCCCACTGTATTGCCCAGGCTGGTGTTGAACTTCTGGCTTCAAGCAATCCTTCCACTTCAGCCTCCCAAAGTGCTGGGATTACAGGTGTGAGCCACCGCACCAGGCCAGTGCCTTTTTTTTTTTTTTTTTTTTTTTTTTGTGGAGATAGGGTCTCGCTATGTTGCCAAGGCTGATCTTGAACTCCTGGCTTCGAGCTATCTCCTGCCTTTACTTCCCATAGTGTTGGGATTAAAGGGGTGAGCCACTACACCCAGCCAACTTTTGACTCTTTCAACAAATGAAATCCACTTTCAGAAAGAATGCTGTTGTGTTAGCACTGGGTTTTCAAAAGATATGTGTCAATTTTAAAAGAGGAGCTTCCAAAATGGTTTGCATTATTAAAATGGGTGAATACTTTGAAAGGGATAATAACTCATTTGTGTGTCTATACATGTGTGTTTGCTTAAAAAAATCTGCCCTTGTATTTATTGTCACATCTCATATATTTAATTTATTTAAATATAGGACAATACAGGGAATTTCCTGTTAGAGTTACATAGTTGGAAAATACCAAATTGTCTGTATTTCTTCACATTTCATCACTAGGCATCCAGATAGTCCTAGGCAAATCTATGAATTATGCAAAATGTGTCTTGCCACATCCCTTTCTTTCAGCACTTCCCTTTAATTATTTCTCCATCTACACTCTCCTCTCCTCATTCAAAAATGCCAAGAGCTTGGTGACCCTCTGCAGCCATATGCAGAGTCCTCAAGTTCAAGGCCCTACCCTGTCCTGTCCTTTCTGGGTACTCCTTTCATGTGCTCTAAAATCATTCCTCTTTTTAGCCATTCAACTAAAATTTTATTCTTGTAGAATAACCAATGACATGTAACGTTCCGGAGAAAAGACAGCAGAGAAAAGTAATCCACATTAAGGTGTAAATGACTAACAGCTCTAGCTTAATATAGAGATCCTGACAGTGGCAGTGATATTTAGAAAGAGAAGATTATTAGGTCAAAAGAAGTATATTCTTTCTGGCCTGGGTCCCATTCTTGTCCTTTCTCGACCATAATAGATCCTGTGTGGGGAATTTCTTGTCCTACTTCAGCTCATGCAAATCTTGTATCTGTGGTTGTACATTATTCTTTGATGACATCAGAGACCTACTTCTGCTTTTGGCATATGATAGGGGACACTTGTTTATTTTGGTTGGGAAAGGAGGAGATTGTTATAGGCACTGATAGGGGTATGGGGGCCATGTTTCCCAGGGGGATTCCAGGATGTGTCCATGAGAAACGCATTTAATATATTATTTGGGAAAGGAGTGTTTGTTATTGTTACAGTGGTTTTGCTTGATGATTTTTGTTTTTAACAGTGAGAAACTGAAAATCTTCTATGATCATCTTGTTGCCTCTAGCAGTGCTTTTGACTTATAGAGTGTGTGTGATTCCCTGAGATACCAACTTTTCTGCCAGTTTCAAAGTTTAATAGTATTTGGGGCATGCCACCTAGCGGTGATAGCTTTTGGTTTCTTGCTCATTGGAGGAGAATAAATCAAAACCCTAGTAAATCAGTCTCCTAGACTTGAAAGCCACATGGGAGGCCATCTAGGTCATCTGTTAGCTTTTGCGTAAGCAGGCAAGTAAATCACCCTTTCTGTGGATCTGAGACAGAAAAATCAGGGCATCTAAAGCCCCCTGGGCTCAGAATTCCTCCGGCTCCCAGTTCCCCCAGTGAACTTTGAATGTTTGTGGCCTGCATGGCTGAGACGCGACCCTGTATCTCCGCAGGCATTTTGGCAATCCCAGCAACAAACGCATGGAAGACAAGGCTCCTCTGACTCTGAGCCCTGACTTACCTCGTCCTCACTCTGACCTGTTTTCTCCCTCTCCCTTCCCCCACTCTTGGCTTCTCCTTACCCTCTCCACACTCCCCACTGCTTTTAGTGCCTTCCTTCCATTGTCATGCTTGATGGACCCACCATACAATACTTTTTTTTTTTTTTTTGCCATAGCTCCTTTTAAAATTTCTATTTTAACTTTCTGTCCCTAAATAGAAAAGGATAAATGCTTAGTACAGAAAAGTTTGGTAAAAACCCTTTTTGTGTCTGTGTGTGTGTGTGTATGTGTTGAGTGTTTTTTAAAAAACAAAAATAATATAAAATACTATTCACTTAGTAATAGATCATGAGCATTTTCCCCATGTTAATAATGTTCTACTCTAGGATTTTAGTAACTGCATCACAGGATATACCAGAATTTACTTCATTACTGTTAAATTCTAGGAAAGTGAGAATGATAGGAAATATTTTTAATTCACAGTCACGTTCAGGTCACACTTTATTGAACATTGATTGTGTGTTATGCTCCTGTATAAGCCATTTTTACATTCATAAGTACTTTTAACTTTCATAAGATCTCTGTAAAGGCCGGGAGCAGTGGCTCATGCCTGTAATCCCAGCACTTTGGGAGGCCAAGGCAGGCAGATCACCTGAGGTTGGGAGTTCAAGACCAGCCTGACTAACATGGAAAAACCCCCGTCTCTACTAAAAATACAAAATTAGCCAGGTGTGTTGGTGCATGCCTGTAATCCCAGCTACTTGGGAGGCTGAGGCAGGAGAATCACTTGAACCTGGGAGACAGAGGTTGCAGTGAGCTGAAATTGTGCCATTGCACTGCAGCCTAGGCAACGAGCGAAACTTGTCTCAAAAAAAAATTTTCTATGAGGTAGGCATTGTGATGCCATTTTACAGAAGAAACTTGAGGATCTGAGAAGCAGCTTACCCAAGATCACATGGTTTGGAAGGAGGAAACACAGTAAAATTTTGTTCTCTGGATTTATAGTCCCTCAGCCACTTCCTGAGGTCCCAATAGATACTGAATGTGAACATAGCTTTTCTGAGCATTCTTGCTCTTTGTCTTCAAGATGGGAACAGAGAGAGACCCTTGAAAGGAGATTAGTGTTAAAAGGCTTTAGAGTCAAGTTGGGGATTGCAAAATAGGGTATGAGAAAGTGGAAGGAGAGCTACCTAGATAGGGAAGCCTGCGTTTTCATAGCCTCAGGAATAACTCTTGCTAAATGCTCTATATACATTATCCAATTTTATCCTCACAGCAACCCTGGGAAATACATACAAATATAATTTTACTTTACAGATGGAGAAAACTAAGATCAGAGAAGTAGTTGGTCTAAGGTCACTTTGCTGGCAGGTGTCAGAGGCAGGATTAGAACCCAGCTTGTCCGATTCCAAAACTTCTTCAACTGTAATATGAATTTCCTCTCCAGGTTAATGAGTGTCCTAATCATTCTAAGAATGAGTAGTAATAAGAATTTTATAGTGATATAGTCATAGGCCCCATCCCTGGTTTTGAGGGTGTGTTTGAAGGGGGGTTAATGGAACAGATGAATGAAGTAGGGGGAAGAGGGGGGAAGAAGAGTAAAGTGAAACAAAGCCCAGAAAAAAAATTAAAAAGCCTGAAAGAATGCCAGTTGCAATAAAAGCAACCCATGGGGAAGACAGACAGGTAATCTTTGATGCAAAACATTTGGAAAACAATGCTCAGCTGTTGAAAAGGCTGAAATTTCTGTTTTCTCATGTTTTATAATTAAGAAGAAATCTAAGAACACTTGTTAGAAAGTTTTTTCTCCAGTGGTCCAACGTACATTTCCCAAAAATGGTTAGCTCAAAAAACTCATCATATTACTTAGCATAAGCACCAGTGAAATAGTCTTTATGTCAATTATCCCACAAGTTTATAGTGCAGGGTGAGAGATTAGCAGCAATATACTTTTTCAGGCATTGTGGCCATTTCAATTGTTTCTGATTTTTTGATCTCTAAAATAGGTAATACTCCCTAATTCATAGGTGTTGTGAAAATTAATGAGTAAATACTAAGAGCTTTGGGAGGGATTTAAAAGGGAGATGTTAGTGTATGCTATTATTATATCCTCATTTCTATTCTGAAGTCATAATGCTCTGATAGTGACACTGTCATCATCACCATGGAAACCCATGATATATGTCACTTTTTTCTCTGGGGCCTTTCTCCATCCTCCAGGCAGTTCCAGATGCTGCCACAAAAATGCTTAGCTCCCTTTTCTGGTCATCTTTAAGTTCCCTCACTGGTTTGTAAATGCCTTTACTACTAAGCTTTTCCTTGAATATGTCCCTGTCCCTTCACCTACATCTTTCTTCTCTTTTATTATCCTGTATTCATTCCTGTGATTCTGGACACATAGCTTTCCATTCATTTGTTCTCTTTTACCTTGCTCTTCCTTTCCTCCTGTGTTTGGGATAATCTTTGTTGATTCAACAAGTTGTTCTTTATCCCTATTAATGTCTACATGGAGAAGCCAAGGCAACTTGATGTTATCAACTTTATTACTGAAGTTTCAACATCTATGTAGTGTTTTGCTTCAGTTATTAAGAAGTTGGCTGGACACAGTGGCTCCCACCTATAATCCCAACACTTTGGGAGGCCTAGGCAGGAGGACCACTTGAGGCCAGGAGCTCAAGACCAGCCTGGGCAACATAGCAACACCCTGTCTCACAAATTTTTTTTTTTTTTAAATCAGCTGGGCAAGGTAGTGCATGCCTGTAGTCCTAGCTACTTGAGAGGCTCAAGCAGGAGGGTCACTTGAGCTCATGATTTTGAGGATACAGTGAGCTATGACTGTCACTGCACTCCAGCCTGGGTAACAGAGGAAGACTGTCAAAAAAAAAAAAAAAGAAAGAAAGAAAGAAAAAGAAAAGCAAGCAAGCAAGAAGTCACCATAAGTAGATTGCTCTAATCCCTGAGGATGAGTGAAATCAAATCAATAATACTAGTTACCCATCTATGAGGAATCAGGTGGATATTATGCCAGGTTGTTTCTAGTAGTTAACAGTTTGTAAATGAATTCAATCAGATTTTTAAAACTCTGATATTCTTCATTCTTTTGAGAGATATTTGGCACATAAAGACAAGATATCTTTATTACAACACTTAATCGGAAGAAATGAAGCATATTAATTCTCTAATGAATATTTTTAATAAGTTTTCCATGTTACCAGTAGTGTAGTGTTCAGTTATCAAAAGAACATAATGAGATCTCACGCTGTGTAACAGAAAGTAGTACTATCTTGCCTAGAAGAGAACATTCAGACATTTGTTTATAGCTGTCAGTGGTCATTTCTGCAGTGTTGAATTGTCTCTCCCTTTTCCTCCCCTACTTTTGAGTCACTTAAAATGAAAAATGGGAAAAAAAGCATGCTCTAATTTAATGGTTTCCCCATCCTTCAAATGCTCTCCTTTTAAACATTTTCTCTGACATTAGTTTCTCTTTCCTAGCAGGAGGCTGAGTGTTTAAGCTCCTGACATATTCCCGCCGAGTGGCTGTGAGTGTGAGAAGCACTGCAGTACAGTAGGAGTGACTAGTTAAGCCTCTTGGACAGGGAGAAAGAACTGGGAGTGTGGCTGTGAAGTGGGTACCCTGGGTACAAGTATCCCTGTCTTTAGAATCTGTGTACCTAGTGTGGCTCTAACTCCAGTTAAGGGCCCAGTTAAAGTGGGCCTGGATGTCTCATGAAGTCCTGGATGGCCCCCAGTTCAGAGGACCCAGTACTGAAGGTGCCACCTTTACTTAGCTCCTGATCTGGGCTGGATGTGAAGGCCTCTGAGCTGACTTCTGACTCTGGCTCACCTCCCGATGCTTATATGCCCCTCCCTGCCCTTGCCAAATGATCTCCCTCTCCCTGCAGGTTCTCACACCAAATACAAACCTGAAGATGAAATAAGTCATTGCTGTGCACTGCTGAACCCCAGCCTATGCAGGTGACAGATGACTGATGCCAGCCCAGCTAAAGCCTCACTTCATTCTTGTGATTTTGTGGGCACAAAAGAACTTGAATGAGTTGAACCTAAAGTTAAAACTAAACCAGAAGACAGTAAGCCATTTGCTCAGCAGCCTCTATAGCAATCGCTCTTATAGAATAAGGGACAGGGGAATGACAGTGGCCCCCATGGCTCCCAGTGGCTCGTGCTTCTTCGGCATTTCCTACATTTCCCTTCCATCTTCCTCACTGGAATGACACTTGCAACCCTCCAAGCCAGGGCACTATATTAAGTGCTGTACATACAGTACTTCACTGCATACATACAGTAATACTATTATTATTGTGTTATTATTATTATTGCGTTTTTGCAGATGATGAAACAGAGGTCCTATAAGCATTTCGTAGCTCTGGTGCTGAGCTCAGGACTTAATGTATATCAAGGGCTCCATAGTGTTTATTAAACTGGAATTTGACTGGTTCTAAGGAGTTAGTCTTATCGTGATAAAAACTCTGGACTTGGGGATGAGGCAAGTGCTTTTTTTTTTTTTGAGGCAAAGTCTTGCTCTGTTGCCCAGACTCGAGTGCAGTGGCATGATCTCGGCTCACTTCAACTTCCGCCTCCCAGGTTCAAGCAATTCTCCTGTCTCAGCCTCCCGAGTAGCTGGGACTACAGGTGCATGCCACCACACCTGGCTAATTTTTGTATTTTTTTTTTTTGAGATGGAGTCTTGCTCTGTCACCCAGGCTGGAGTGCAGTGGCACAGTCTTGGCTCACTGCAACCTCCACCTTCCGGGTTCAAGCAATTCTTCTGCTTCAGCCTCCTGAGCAGCTGGGACTACAGGCATGTGCCACCATGCCTGGCTAACTTTTGTATTTTTATTAGAGACGGAGTTTCACCATACTGGCCAGGCTGGTCTCAAACTCTCGACCTCAGGTGATCCACCTGCCTTAGCCTCCCAAAGTGCTGGGATTACAGGTGTGAACCAGCGCGCCCGGCCGGCAAGTGTCTTCTTTAAGAATATGGAGATATTGACTTATCATCATTAGTCTCTAGGATTTCTGTGGGGGCTACTTTTCTGTCTTTGATTCCACAACCAGGTCAGTCTTCCTGGTTGACTATATAGCTGCTTGACTATAAAGCGGTTGAAAAAATTCCCTGTGATTACTTGATTATGCTCAGATTTGTTAGATTCTATTTCAGTAGAATATGTTGATATGAATTTGCCAACATGTTGATAGGTATAACTTGTAAAGAGGGCTGTCTGGTTCAATATTGGCTTAAAGCAGGGAAGAGGGTTTCTTTACTGCAGGGCTTCCTTGCACCTTTAATATGTTAATATGCATTGGTGATCTCTTAAAGGGGGAATAAATATTTCATCAATTCTAAGTAGCACTTCCCTCTGTACTTTATTATCTCTGAGGTAGGATGCTTCTTACAGTCAGTGGTATCTTATAGCAGTTGTTGGTCAGGCAGCAGTTTTGCCATGGTTGTCATTGCCTGGGTACATGCGATGTTGGCCATAGCTATTTTTGTTGTCACATCAGCTGAGTTAGGTATATTCCTAGCACAGCATAGAATGATGTTTCATTGCTCTTTAAAGTATCTTCATAAAGATCACACCATGAATTGGTATTGACATGAAAAGTTACTGTATATGTCAAAAGGTATGGAAACAGAGCAGTCGGGTATATACAAGATCTTAGAGCAGCAGAAGCTCATCATTGTAGGTTAACTACATGTCTTAGTCTATTTGAGCTGCTATAGCAAAATGCCACAAACCGAGTAGCTTACAAGCAACAGAAATTTATTTCTCGAAGTTCTGGAGGCTAGAACATCCAGGGTGAAGGCTCTGGCAGATTCAGAGTCTGGTAAGGGGATACACTTTCTGGTTCATGGATGGTGCTTTCTCACCATGTCTTCTCATGGTGGAAGCGTCAATGAGATTCTCTCAGGCCTTTTTGCTGTTGTTGTTAAAGTGAAAACAAGTTTATTAGGAAAGTAAAGAAACAAAAGAATGGCTATTCTATAGGCAGAGTAGCCACATGGGCTGCTTATAGTTATTTCTCGATTATATGCTAAACAAAGGGTGGGTTATCACGAGTTTCCTAGGAAAAGGGTAGGCAATTCCCTGAACTGAGGGTTCCTGTTCCTCCCCTTTTTAGGCCATACAGGTTAACTTCCTGACATTGCCATGGCATTTGTAAACTGTCATGGCACTGGCGGAGTGTCTTTCAGCTTGCTAATGCATTATAATTAGCATATAATGAGCAGTGAGGATGACTAGAGGTCACTTCCATCCCCATCTTGGTTTCAGTGGGTTTTGGCCAGCTTCTTTTCCTCAACCTGTTTAATCAGCAGGGTCTTTGTGACCTGTATCTTGTGCCAAACTCCTATCTCATCCTGTGACTAAGAATGTCTAATCTCCTGGGAATGGAGCCAAGTCGGTCTCATCCTTATTTTACCCAGCTCCTATTCAAGATGGAGTTGCTCTGGTTCAAATGCCTCTGACATGTTTTCCCCTCCCTTTTTACAAGGGGACCCTTAATCCTAACGGTTACAGAGGGATGAAGAGTCACCCTCTGTAACTTCTTCAGGCTGAATAGGGGCTGAATATTCCTGTCTCAGGCATTTTTTAATGTGCACTAATCCCACTCATAAAGGCTCTGTCCTCAGGACCTAATCACTTCCCAAAGGCCCCACCTCCTGTTACCATCACCTTGGGGGTTAGGATTTCAATGTATGAATTTTAGGAGGACAAACATCTAGCCCACAGCACTACAGTTCCTTATCTTCTTGCAAAGCAATAACCAAATGCTTGATAGAACTTAAGAAAGGAAGATACCCAGTAGCTAGGGCTATATTTGTTACCGAGGTAGGCGCACAAGGAGTGGCTACCACTCACCAAGGGAGCAACACAACTGAAACCAGGAAAATCGCCAAATCCCTGGGGAAAGCATTGTGTCCTAATTTAATTGGCATTGCTTTTTCTTTCCTAGTGGTATGTAATCAATAACTTTGTAGATTTGATGACATATGTTAGTGTGAAGCGTTTTCAATCTTATTTGACCACAGGCTCTTGTTTCCCTAGAAACATCTCTTGGAACTACTGTTCTGTAGAATTGAATAATGATAATATTTAATACTTACAATTAGCCAGTCAGTATTTACATTTTTCACCTATATTAACTAAATTAATTCTCACTACCATCTCATGAAATAGGCACTATTGGCCGGGCGCAGTGGCTCAAGCCTGTAATCCCAGCACTTTGGGGGACTGAGGTGGGTGGATCACCTGAGGTCGGGAGTTCGAGACCAGCCTGACCAACATGGAGAAACCCCGTCTCTACTAAAAATACAAAAAAAAATTAGCCAGGCATGGTGGCGCATGCCTGTAATCTCAGCTACTCGGGAGGCTGAGGCAGGAGAATTGCTTGAACCTGGGAGGCAGAGGTTGTGGTGAGCCGAGATCGTGCCGTTGCACTCCAGCCTGGGCAACAAGACGGAGTGAAACTCCATCTCAAAAGACAAAAACAGAAACAAATACAAACAAAAAGAAATAGGCACTATTATTTTCCCCATGTTGCAGATGAGGAAACTGAGGCACATGGACATTAAGTAACTTGCCTAAACTCACACAGCTAGTGTAGTAGAGCAAGGATTCAAACCCAGGCAGATTGTGTGTTCTTTAGCAGTAGGGCCCATAGTTTGGAAAACGCTATTCTAGCCACAGACTAGGGAGGAGAATGCTGCAAATCCGACTCATAGCTAAAAAATGAATAAGTGGCACAACCACCACTGCTTCTTAAAATAGCAGGAATCTACAGGGAAATATAAAGATTTCTTTGCTCTTTGTTTATATTGTGAATGTGTTGTTACCTTTTGTATATGCCTTGTTCACTCCCTCCAGGTTGTGAACATTAAGAAAGAAAGTCACTGTCAGTGCGACACTGAAGTAGTACAAGTTTAACCTGAAGAAAATACCAGAATAAGCCGGATAAATATCAGCGCCAATGTAGGCCAGATCTGAATGCCCTGAAATGATCCATTACCTTACAGGTTGCTGCTGCAGTGAAAGGGAAGCTGTTGCTTTTTTTTTCCCCCACAAAGTTGGCGGGGGGGGGGGGCACTTATAGAAACTAAACCACTTTGTGCCACTCTTCCCATCTTTCAAATTGCTACTCTTTGTGAGATAAATTTCAATGAACCAGATGGACTTGCTGAGAGAGGTACCAATCTTCTATTAGCTCAGTCCCTAGGGAAGAGGCAGGTGACAGAAGGAGTTAGGCAGAAAAATAAACCAGAGAACAAAAGATGGTGTCATTGCTTGGAGCCGTGGTGATGTTCAGGTGCCAGGGGCTCAAGTTTCCCAGGCAGCTGAGCTAGGAGGATGATTTTGCTTACTCCATCTTAAGAGGTTTCAAACTCTGCAACATGGTTTCTCCACATGCGGGTTGCTTCTGAAGATTTGTTTGGTCTCCCTGAGATATGTCTGGCCCTGTACAAGCTGCTAGTGAAAACAACACTAGTACCTAATGGTAATTTAAGGAAATTATACTGTTCCGGAGACAAAATGCTGTTCAGTTGCTATGTATCTGTGCCAACTGGGTAAGAAAGGAAGATGATTCACAGCCCTGTCCAGTGGGACCGGTGAAATGCTTCATTACACCTTGGTTCCAGGCTGCTTTTTGGGGCAAATGCTTTGGCATTTGTGGATTCCAGAAGGATTGTAATGATTAGACATAGACCAAGGTTTAACTTGAATATTAACTTTATTTTTTTATTTAAATTTTAAAACCTGCACCAAGCTGAATTGGGTATTAACTTTTAGGAGAGAGAACACACAGGTGTTAGACCAGTTGTATAGGATCTTTCATGTTCTTCACCCAAGGTGGATAAAAGATATGGATTTAACCTTAATACATGAATTGTAGCCCCAAATGAATCAGATGGAGATGGCTATCTTCATGGCAGCTTGCTAAATGGCAGCTATTGAAATAAAAACAAAAGCAAAATGACTATTCCAGGGCTGAGAGACAGTTAACAAATGGAAAGTTCCAGTGTGCTGAAATAAGTCATCTTTGTATACAATAGCCACTCCACACATATATTATGGTACAAGCCAAGTGGTAATACAATTCTGACAAGGTTCATTACACTCAGTTTATAAATTAAGCTTCTGGGCTTAAGCCTCAGAGACACTCTTTATTCTGGGAAGCTGCAAACTATGAGGCACTTGATAAGAAACTGCTAGAAAGAATCCAGCTGTTAGCCATTATCATGTTTCTTTTGAGCATGCTGTACATGGTATGCATAGGTACAGAGAGAGCATCCAAGGAGATTAAAAACCATGGTTACATTAACGCACACCTATCTCAGGGGAACTGCACTGACTTTCCTCTCACAATGTAGGGATGCTTCCTGCAGTTTCTCTGCTTAATCTGGCAGGCTGCATTTGGAATCTGTAGTGCCTTGAGTCACTTTCAGCGGGGTTGGAGGATAGAAGCCACTAAAGCAGAATAGATGCTGGGGCAAGACAGCTAATAATCCACTTAAATGTCAGTCAGGGTTGTGTGCGACAGCTGAAACATCCTCTCACGCAAATATTTTGCTGGATGTAGAATGACATGTAGGTAACTACCTTTTCAGAGTCCTGTTAATTATCTTTGATACAATTAAAATCTGAAGTCTTTCACCCATATGGAAATCATCTGAGCTTAGGAAAAAAATATGTTTGAATACCAGTGAGGTGGTATAAAACATTCATTATATAACAAGGTTTCTTAATTCCTTTTCATTTTAAAGATGCCTACTACTGTAGGCAAGCATAACCATTTTAATAAATTTTTAGTCAGATTTGCAAAATCTCCATGTGGCAATCAGAGCAGAAGAGCTGGCCTCTCACCGGGAAGAGTTTTCTGAGGTAACAGGCCACTGGTTTTCTCTTCTCAAACTAAAAGCCAAGAGGTACAACTTCCTAATTAGGTCAGAGGAAAATGACTGATTAGTCCAATTCTACGACTTGCCACCTCAGTCTGGAGATGGGCTGTAGTCTTTCCTTCACACAAGGGAGGTGATGAGTGTTGGGGCAAGAGCCCAGCATTTGGGGCTGTCGCCTTGAGCATTAGGGTGTTGGCCGCTCAGCCAGACATCAAGGGATCATCCAGCCCCTTCGCACTCCCTTCTGAGGATGGACAGGACCTGGAGCTCAGGTAGGTGAAGGCTAGCTGCTGTTTTGGGGGATAATTGGCTGATTTCAAACAGATGCAAGCTAATATAGCTCTACATTATTTGTGAACAGCCAGAACTGTTCCTTTGTAACAAGGCAAAGAAAGTGCGGCTTTCAGAGCACAGCACATAGCACTTGTCCCTTTTCGGGATAGGGCAGTTAGTTGGGTAGTTGCCAATTTACAGGGATACTTATTTCATAACAGACTGATGGTTGGGCCCGAGTGAGCTCTCAAAGCAGTCCTATTGACCTCACCTAAAAATGGGGACAGGGGGACCAGCTCTTTTTAGGTTTCTTCTGTGATTCATTTAGAATCAGATAAATAAAAAATGACAAACTGCATCTTAAAAAAACGTGACTCCTGGCTGGGCGTGGTGGCTCACCCCTGTAATCCCAGCACTTGGGGAGGTTGAGGTGGGCAGATGGCTTGAGGCCAGGAGTTCAAGACCAGTTTGGCCAATATAGTGAAACTCCATCTCTACTAAAAACACAAAATTAGCTGGGCATGGTGGTGGGCACCTGTAATCCCAGCTACTTGGGCATCTGAGGCATGAGAATCATGGACCCAGGAGGCAGAGGCTGCAGTGAGCTGAGATCGTGCCACTGCACTCCAGCCTGGGCAGCACAGTGAGACTATCTCAAAAAGATTTCAAAAAAAAAGTGACTCCTACTTATTCCTTCCCTTCACAACTCAGAAGTACAGAAATTTTGTATTACTGAAGTGAGGGTGAGGTTTTGGATTTCTCTTCCTTGGGTCTTCAGTGTATTTTTTACAGTATAATCTTCTTAGATTGTATTTTTGCATTCCTTCACATATCTCCATATGTGAAGATTACTCTGAGTCAGTGATCAATCATGGGCAAGTTACTTAGCCTCTCTGTGCCTCAGTTTTCTCAGTTGTAAAATGAGGATAATAATATTTCTACTATTTCTAATATAGAATTATTGTAAGGATTAAACAAATGAATATATGTAAAGCTCCTTGGCATATAGTATAGTGTGTATTATTAGTAGTATTTTTATATTTTATCAATTTATGAGTCTTTTCTATGGATTCATGGCTTTTCCAGGTGTGCAGTAGGGAAGGGTGGGGCAGGGACACTGAACTTTAGAAAACGGATTTTATAATCTAATACACACAAAAAATGACTTACATTTTGAAACTACATGGAATAATATGCCACAATGTGTCATCGGGGTCAAATGTTGGTTTCAGGTGCTACAGTAATAGGAAGAATGAGGTCAAGTAATAGGAAGAATGTGCATCTCAGGGAGGAAGCTGAGATTGAGCCGGGCTAAATAACAAGTAGATTGAGATTGGTAGAGAAGAGTGAGGAGGGAAATTTAGGCGAGAACAAAATGCAAGAAGCAGAGACCAGAAACAATGTGACGTGGTCTTGGTGCAGTAGGGAGACAGGGCAGGCAAAGTGGAAGGAAATAAGGTTGTACAGAGTGGAGCCATATTGCGGAAGTTCTAGAAAGTGCTCTCTAGCTGAAGGATTCTGCACTTGATGGGAATGGAAACTGGGAATACTGAACATTTCTGAGTGAAGAGAAGAACATTGTTTGGGATCTAAAGAAGATTTCCATTATTGGGGCTGAAGAGCTGAGTCCACGGAGACTCACAAAGAGGCTGTAGCCCTGGCTGCCTTGGTGTGGGGAGCTGGGGCTGTACTGAGGCATAGCAGAGGGCGAAAGAGGAAAGCAAAAGATTTAAGTGACACATCAAAGAAAAAATTAGTAAGAAAATTAGCAAGACCTGGCCAGGAACGGTGGCTCATGCCTGTAATCCCAGCACTTTGGGAGGCTGCGGTGGTTGGATCATGAGGTCAGGAGTTCGAGACCAGCCAGGCCAATGTGGTGAAACCCTGTCTCTACTAAAGACACAAAAAATTAGCTGGGCGTCGTGGTGCACACCTGTAATCCAAGCTACTCGGGAGGCTGAGGCAGGAGAATCGTGCCATTGCACCAGCCTGGGTGACAGGGTGAGACTCCATCTCAAAACAACAACAACAACAACAAAAAAGGAAAATTAGCAAGATCTGTCTGTTAACTGACTGAATAAAGAAATTGAAGTAAAAGGCAAGTCAGAGATTATTACAAATGTTCAATGATGTGGATCTGAGAAATAGAGACAACATGAAAAAACAGGAGGACAATTGATTAAAGGGAGAGAGAAACAAATGAGGAGTGTGGTGTTGTATAAATTGAGTTGGTAGTGAAAGTGTGATGTCCAATAATGATAACTAACCTTTATTATTTACTATGTGCCAGACACTGGGTGTTTTACACATGTAAATGTATTTTATCCTTTATTTTATCCTCAAGGAATCTGTTTGAGACAGATACTCTTATTATCCCCATTTTATGAAGAATGAGAAGTTAAAGATGACCCCAAGTTTATACAGTTAAATTGGGATTTAAACCCAAGCCATCTGAATTCAGTGCTTATTCTAGACCATCACTTTGCTTAACTACCTCTCAGGAAGTCCAAGCTCTGACAGGAAGTCAAGACTGAACATTACGGTTGAGAGTCATCAGTGCAGAGGTGTTCACTGCAGTTATGGGGATGGATGAGCTTTCTGAGGGAGGAAGCACGCAGATAGGACAGCAGGTGACCAAGGATGAATCCCAGGGGAGGCCTACAATGAGAAGTCAACACAGGGAAGGGTGCAGAGGCCCACCGAGTGTGAAGGAGACTGGAGAACAGCCCAAAGCCTTGGCCTTCAAAGGACTGGTTTGGTGATGGGTTTGAAGATGGAAGTCAGGGTTAAGAAGTGAAAGCTCAGGCTGGGCGTGGTGGCTCATGCCTATAATCCCAGCACTTTGGGAGGCCGAGGGGGGCAGATCACTTGAAGTCAGGAGTTCAAGACCAGCCTGGCCACATAGAGAAACCCTGTTTTCACTAAAAATAAAAAAAATTAGCCAGGCATGGTGGCATGTGCCTGTAATCTCAGCTACTCGGGAGGCTGAGGTGGGAGAATTGCTTGAACCTAGGAGGTGGAGGTTGCCGTGAGCTGAGTTAGCACCACTGCACTCCAGCCTGGGCAACAGAGTGAGACTCCGTCTCAATATTAAAAAAAAAAAAAAAAAAAAAAGTGAAAGCTCTATCCGTGATTGGAGGGAGAAGCGACAAAGTTTAGTCAGGGAAATGAAGGAGAAAGAGCAGAATGGCCAAATGAAGGGTTTGCTTGTCTTCCCTTTACCTCCCCTGCAACACACACAAAATAAGAGGGACCTATGCCCCAAGAATATAGAGGAAAGAGGGAGGATGTAATGTGGAAAAGGAAGGGTGTACATGTGAAAGAAAAAATCCTGCAGGCACCGTAAAAGGAGAGAATCAACAGCTTTTACTCTAGCTGTGAGGGGAGGACTACTGCATTGTCAATGTTGGAAATGAGCCTTAAAATAGGTCACTCGTGTGGCCCTTGAGATAGATACACTATATTGAGGAGGATAAACCTGAATATGCAATTTCTCCACCAATTTATTTATTTAGCAAAGAAATACATGTGGCATCTCCACTTGTCATTTAGGCATCTCAAAATCAATAAATCCAAAATAACCCTTAACTTCTCACCTTGCAACTAGTTCCTTTGTTTCCCCCTCCATCCTCCAAGTTGTTTAGGTTAAAAACTTTGGTTTCATCCTTAACTTTTATATTTCTCTCACGCGTAACATTTAATTAATCAGCAAGTCTTGTCTACTCTGCTTTAAGATCTATCAATAATAGGATCACTTCTTCACTGATACTACCTTACTCTTAGCCACTGGTAATATTTGCCTGGACTGGGAGGGTCTACCTGCTCCCATTCTTGTCCTGTTGCCATCTATTTTCTTCACAGATGCAAGGGTAAGTTTTTTAACAATGTGAATTGTATTGTGACACTATGATGTTCAGAACTTTGCAATGGATTTCCGTGTCTCGGAATAAAATCCAAAGTTCTAGCCACAGCCTCCAAGGTCATCACCTACAATTACCCCCAAAGCTTCCTCTGCTCCAGCCACATTAACTTTCTTGTTCTTGTCTCAGGGTTTTTGCATATGCTGTTCCTTATGCAACAGCATATGGAACAGATTCATTTATTCAACAAATGTTTGTTGAGTACCAAGTATGCTGCAGGTCGTTGGGATATGTCAGTAAACAAGGTGGACAAAGAACCTTGCCCTTGCTGGGCTTACATTCCTAGCATACTTGCATCTCTCACCCTCTTTGCTCAGATGTCACTTATCAGAGAGGTCTTTAACTGTACGCTTTCAAACAGTGATCCCTCCCCCACACCCCCTCATCACATATTCCTTTATGCAGGTTTATTTTACTTAATAATTTCTATCACCATCTGACACATGATATAATTCTTTCTTTCTTACCTGTCTCCCTCCAGTAGAATGCAAGCTCCATAGCAGGGACTTTCCTGTTTTAGTGTCTGCCATAGTTCTAGAACTGCATCTAGCACATAAAAGGTGCATTCACATATTTACAGAATGAATTAATGCATGTGCAGGGTGGGCACTTTTAATTTGGAAACTCATGTCAGCAATTCTGGGAAGATTTCTTGCATTGTTTCTTCAGTAATTTTCTTCTCTACATTTTTTTTCTGGTTTTCTCTTTTTTTAAACAGAGGTGTTACGATGTCATATTCTGGGTCTTCCTGATGACTGTTGACTTTTATTGTCTTTTAATTGATTGTTTCTTTTTGTTCTAGTTTCCAAGAGATTTCCTCAGCTTTATTTTCTAACTCTTATACACCATTTAAAAATTCTCCTATAATGTTTTTAGTTTCTAAGAGTCCTTTTATGTTCTCTCATTGTTTCTATTACATTGTTATGATCATTTTATTTACAAGCTGGACTGAATAGGGGAAAGACTTTATTATTTCCCATTTCTCCCTGCTAAATCCCATTCCTGGATGCAATCTCATCTAGGTTCCAAATTTCTTCAGTTACTCCTAGTTAGGAAATAAAAAAATCCTTTGGTTACTTTTAGTCACAAGAACAGCCTCCTTTTCATGATTTTTAAAGTTTCTCATGAGCATAAAACTCTGATCTGGTTCCCTTTTCCCTTCTTCCTGTCTTCCTACCTTCCCAACCATGTGCCTGGTTAGGGCTTGGATATCCGTGTTTGGAGAGATGCGTAATTGACATTTCTACTTCTCTGCTTCTCCTTCTACTACTCTCTGCTTTCTAGATGCTATTTCTGACGTTTTCAGAGCTAGGCTCAGAAGAACAGAGGATTAATGAAAAAAGGCCTTTTGTGGCTTGTGCAGTTTGTAATCCGATGATTTCCTCTGAGGTGGCAGGTGCACAATTGCTGGCTCTTTCCCTTGAGGGATGTGTTTGGAGGCCTGCCCAGTGAGGACCTCTGACTGCAGCTCCCTTTTTGTGGGCAGGGCTGCACTTCAGGGACCACATTGATCTCACTCTCAACACCTGAACTTCTGGCAATCCACAGTTGGGTCACATTTCCCCTTCAGGGAATACTGTTAGGTAGGATTGAACATGACTCCAGGTTGGTCCTCTCCATCTGTCTAGCTTGGCCCATGAGAGTTCATACATTCTTGCCCTGTTATGCATATTGTTCCTAATGCACCCTCCTCTCTTCATTCTGCTGTTAAACCAACTCCAGCTGCAAACTTTCCCCATTGCATTTCCCCCAATTAGATAATAGCCACTCCATCTCACAAAGTCTAGGGAGCACATAGGAAGTTCTCCAAATAGTCCCCTTAAAGCTTTTTACATTCAATTTGAAGTTTAAGAATGCATACCCTTTCCTCCCTCCAAAAGTACATTCAGGGAAGCATTGTGTAGGGCACAGTACTTGGAAGAGACTGGAGAATTGAGGACTGTAGATATTAATTTTTCTTTGACCAGAGGAGGAAAAAGGACTTTCTAATAATGCAGCCCTGTAAGCTGCCTAACAGTTCACCTGCTACTGAGGGCAGCAGAAATGTCCCAGCTCTGGCCCCAGAGTAGGAATGCATCCCTGACATGTTGCTTTACTCCCAAGATCTATATCTCTTATCCACAATGTTCTAGGATAGTCAAAATATATGCCTCTGGTAGTCACAGAGACAGGGACATAATATTAGAAGAAATATTGTGACAATTAATAGTACTTATACAGATTTTGAAGGACTGTTAGAGAAGAGTTGTTAAGGTAGGATCATGAGCATCAGACCGACCTGGGTTTGACTTTTAGCTCTGTCACTGATTAGCATGTGACTTCAGGCAAGTTATTAAACATCTCAGAATTTTATCTGCCAAAAAATATTAACAGTAACACCTACATCCTACATAGTAGAGTTGTCCGTATGCCAGACAGCCTGTTGGTCACTCCACACCATCAGTGCCATGCCTGTCCAAGGCTGGGAACTACCTTTCCCAGAATCTCCATTCTTATATAATTCTGGGTTGGAAGTAGTCAATGAGACTTTGAGTTTGCGACTTGTGCAAGACTTGGTAGGCAGAAGTGATAGGAGACCATTGTTCTCAGGGTAAATCTTGCTGAGGTTTATCAGACAGGGTCACCAGATGTGGGAGTCCATAGTCCTTTCTATGAGCTCTCACTCTGTAGTGATGGCAGGATTCTCAGTCTTCACCCATCAGCTCCCTATCCATACTCCAGGCTTTAGGCTGAAGTCATCAGCAACTTTTTTTTCCAGTCTTTGGGCTGTGACTGTCTCGACTTTCACTACTTTACCTTCTCTCACATCTGGGCAAGCTTGCATTTCTATATGAAGCCCCTTATTCCTGTACAACCTATAGTGGCTCTGATTTCCCGACTGAAACATTATGGTACAGCATGGACAACCTAAAGACATGTAGCAAGGACTTAATCAATTGTAGCCAATACTAATAATAATCAGAAAAAGTATTGTTTAGAATAATTTGAGACTAAGAGATGACTGAAGTGAAACTATGTGAGTTCCATTGTTTAGGAACAGCAAAGATGAGGAAGGATACAAAAGGAGACATTCTTTATAGCCTAATGACAAGAACTGCTCCCATTTCTGTAACACTTTTCAATTCACAAAGTGTTTGCACATCGGCTGTCCCTATAGTTGCAGAGTTTAGCTTTCCAATCAATGAACTGATCACATGCTTTATGGCATGTACGGTTGTTACTGTGCTGCATGGTAATTAGGCATAAGTGGTAGTAGCTGGTTTATAAATGACTGCAATTGGAATTAATTTTAGGGAGCCAATTTTTTTTTGGGTCACAAATACGGACAATTTCCCTTTATATGGTGTTTTATAGTCTCATAGATAAAAAGACAAGTCTGCATAGCTCCTCAAATCCAGTTCCTTTTTTCTTGCTCTCTTCTAGGGCTGGGGTTTCTCTATACCCAATTCCCATCCTTCCTTTGGCTATGGACGTCATAAGCAGATGTCCTGTTGGTTCCTGGATCTGGCTTTCCTCATTGTTTCAATGGCACCAACGTTACCAGAATGTCTGGAAGCACAGGACTGTGGATGATCCGCCCCAGGAGCAAAACATAACCACTTTGCCACAAAGCAAGGAAGGGGAGACCAGTCTAGGGAAGGGAAAGGAGGAGATGCAGATCCAGTGTTTTGTCTCTGAGAGTTTTGAACCAGAAGTAGGCTGGAAAGCTTATGAAAAAGATAAAGGATTCTTTTTAGGATTCTGGCAGTAGGAGGAGTCAGTTCTTTGCTAAGGCAGGAACCGGACAGGATGTGGCAATGTTCCATCTGGGACTCTACACTGTGGCAAAAGGAACTCATGCTGACAGGTACTCTTCTTCACTCCTGAAGGTTTGAAGACTAAGAGTCTAACAGCTGCATTGAAACTAGCTCCCAATAGGACCAGAGTTTTTTTGTGTGTGTAAGCCTTCAAGTATGTGCTGCTTGTGAGGTACACTGACTGCTTAAACAGTAACGTGCTTTCAGTGATGCACTGTCCATATTCCACTTCAAAGAAGGATGTGTTGCTGCTCCTACTCGGAGTGCTTTCTGCTGTCAGCCCCTTTAGAGGTTACCTCCACGGCAGACAGCCACCTTTTCCAAGGTTACAGCCTTCCTAAGGAGGCTCATTTTGGCCCAAGGCAGGACACCTCTGACAAATCATTTTAGTTCATGATTTCTCATGGGGTTGGCTGAGGCTGTCAGGCCTGCCTTGCAGCTTCACTTCTTCTTCTACCCAGTTCTACTCTGTTGCCCTCCCTTCCACAGGTGTTGATCTCAGGAACACTCACTAATAGACATTCAGCACGTTAAACTTCATCTCCGAGTCTGCTTTCCAGAGAACCCCATCTGCAACAGACTACTCTCCATAACTTCAATATTTGTTAATATTTCTATTTTACAGTTGTCCCCTCTGCCATTCTCTTTGACCTCACTGGTTTATACCTGTTATACCTGTTTTATTCATTTACTATCATTTCATGAAGTTTTTTCTTTCTTTTTGAGACGGTGTCTCGCTCTGTCGCCCAGGCTGGAGTGCAGTGGCATGATCTCGGCCCACTGCAGGCTCTGCCCCCCGGATTCACGCCATTCTCCTGCCTCAGCCTCCCAAGTAGCTGGGACTACAGGCGCCCGCGACCTCGCCTGGCTAATTTTTTTGTATTTTTAGCAGAGACAGGGTTTCGCCGTGTTAGCCAGGATGGTCTCGATCTCCTGACCTCGTGATCCGCCCACCTCGGCCTCCCAAAGTGCTGGGATTACAGGCATGAGCCACCGCGCCTGGCCCATTTCATGAAGTTTTAAGAGGAAATTGAGATGAATGCATGTGTTTGCCCTGGCATTCAGTTACTGTCATTTTACAGAGTTTTAAGAGGGACATCAAGCATGCACACATATGTCTGAACTGGCATTGTATCGGTCAGAGTTAAATTTCAGATAATATAATTTATTCTAGCTTTTCAAAACAGAAAGGGTATTTTCAGGGTATTCAGTAGTGAGGAAGACTAGTATTGCAATACTAGTCTACCAGTTCTTCATTCTTCCTTTACAACGAACGTGACTCTGCCACTCCTTCCGTGAAGGGGTTGAGTCTATTTCCCTAGCCCTTGAATCTGGGATGGCCTTTTAATCTGCTTTGGCTAACAAAATATGGTAGAGGTGATGGTATGCTGTTTCGAAGCCAAGTCCTCAAGAGGCTTCACATACTTTGGAATCCTCCGTACTTTGGATTCCTTTTGGAATCTTTCCTTTTCCATGAAAACAATCCAGGCTATCCTGCTAGAAGATGAGAGCCCAAGTGGAACGATGAGGAGTTGTCCTAGCTGAAGCCATCTGAGACCAGCCAATTTCTAGCTAACCCATCAGCTGGCCACAAATCCACAAGCAGGCTTAGTGGGATTAGCTAAGCTCAACCTACATCAGCAGAACTGGCCAACTGACCCAGAGATTCATAAGCAATAATAAATGGTTATTATTTTAAGTTGCTGCATTTGAGAGTGTTTGTTATGCAGCATTATTGTGGCAACCGACGATTGATACAAGTGGCTTAAAGAATCATTATGAGAGCTGAAGAAGTAGACTCTAGGGCCACATCACAGAACAGACTCACTAAAGGAGCCTACAGTCAGGAAGTCGTGGAACCAAGAATCTGCCTGCTAAGTTGAGACACCTTTGCTACAAGCTCCGACTTCACCTCTGCTATGACCAGGAAGCTGCTGGTAGAGCTGCCAACTCCAGAACTACGCTGCTGTTGCTGCTACTGTCATGATTTACAGCAATGCAAACCTGTGCTCTGCTTTTTTCCCATCTAACTCAGTTTATGCAAGTGCTTCTGATCAGCAGAATGTAAATTATACCCACACTTCAGTTGCAAAGGGGTCTAAGGTCAAAGGGGTTTTTAGTTTTCCAGCTTCTGCAGTAGGAGAAGGAGGTTGGCATGAATTTGGAATGAGTCAGTCTCAGCATCACCACAGCATGATTAACTAAAATACATACGATTCCTGAAACTTATTCCATAGATAGTGCTCAATGATACTAAAACAACATATTTATATATTCAGTGTTTTACATTTGGACATATCATGCTACACTGTCAACCATCATTCATTCAATTAATAGAAGTTGAGAGGTTGAAGGATGAATTGAATAACACGATACTAAGATTTTATACTAATTGCTCCAGCAAAATACATGTAAAAATCTTTTTTTTTTTTTGAGATGGAGTCTCGCTCTGTTGCCCAGGCTGGAGTGCAGTGGTGCGATCTCAGCTCACTGCAATCTCCACCTCCCGGGTTTAAGCAATTCTCCTGCCTCAGCCTCCTGAGTAGCTGGGATTATGGGTGTGCGCCACCACACCCGGAAAATTTTTGTATTTTTAGTAGAGACGGGGTTTCATCTTGTTGGCCAGGCTGGTCTCGAACTCCTGACCTTGTGATCCGCCTGCTTTGGCCTCCCAAAGTGCTGGGATGACAGGCATGAGCCACCGTGCCAGGCCTTAAGAGATAAAAATCTCTTAAGGGAGTCAACAATTATAAGCCACAAAGGAGAGGAAACTGACTTTATGTTCTGAAAAATTTTTGGTCCCTTATTGATACTTCAGATACCATTATCAGTAGAAAGACTGGCGATTTCAGAAAGAATAATAGTAGCAATCTGGACTTAATCTGCAGTTATTTTATTTATTTATTTATTTATTCGAGATGGAGTCTCGCTCTGTCACCCAGGCTGGAGTACAGTGGTGCAATCTCGGCACACTGCAATCTCTGCCTCCTGGGTTCAAGCGGTTCTTCTGCCTCAGCCTCCCGAGTAGCTGAAACTTACAGGCGTGTGCCACCATGCCCGGCTAATTTTTGTATTTTTAGTACAGAAGGGGTTTCACCAAATTGGCCAGGCTGGTCTCAAACTCCTGACCTCATGATCCGCCCGCCTCAGCCTCCCAAAGTGCTGGGATTACAGGTGCATGTACATTACCCGTGATAAAAGAAATATTTCAAAATTTATTTTGGCATAAAGGTAGAGATTTACAAGATTCTTAGAAAGGCTGATCTGACCTTAAGACACAGAATCCGATTTGATGAGATGAGAGAATTCATGCTTTCAAATCAGCAATTAGCAATTCTGGAAAATATCTGCGTCCCTGTGAGGACTTTTCAAAGAGATGGTGATTTAGGACAATAAATAATCAATGAAGAAAAGGAAAGGGAATTCTTAGAACAGAATCATACAGTGAAGGTATTAAAATGAAAGAAATTTTGTGCCCCAAATGTATTCCCTGGACCTTGTGCAGCTGCAGTACAACATTATTATTATGGTATGTGAGGCTTGCCAGTGGTTTATGCCTTACTGAGAATTACTTTACTCAGCCGTGGCCTTGTATGGTGAGGAGTCCTTTCGGCTCACCAAAAAGAGAGAAAAAAAAAAAGTCCTGTTGTCAAGAGAACCTGGAGTCCCTCCAAAAGGTGCCCCACTGATTCAAAAGCCAGACACTCCCTTGTCAACAAAGGCATCTCACGGCTAAAAGTCTGGAGGGCAAATTGCACTTGGCTCATTGCTAAGTCTTAATCATAGAACCTATTTATTCGATTCTTACTGACATTAATGTGAAGTATCAGCAATTTTGCTTCTCAGACAGAATCCATGGATTTAATTGTCATTTTTTTTAGTTGTGCAATCAGAAATTCATTCATAGGAGGAAAAATCAGCTAATACCTATGGAAAAATGCAAAAGAAAGCGGTTGTCAGACTGATTGCTTTTTGGCAAAGGCTGAGCTCAAGATTTACCAATGAAAGCCCAATTAAATGTGACCTGAGAGAATGTTAACAGAGCTAAAGAGCATTACTAAGCCCAAAGACTGGCATTTCAGTTACCTTGTAAGGTATTTCAGAGAAAATTACATATATGTAAACACAAGGCTGTGTATCACTATATTGATAAAATAGTAGTTTCTAAAACAGCTTTACTGATTTCCGAAGCAACAAGAAAAAAAAAGACAACAGAAAGCAAGTAATTCACCTTTTTGGGAACCGATCTTCAGCAATGTTAGTTGAAACTTCTCAAGGAACATCTGGCTTGGATTCAGCTACCCAGGGCAGAACAAAAAAAGTGAAAGGTCTCTAGATCAGGTGTTTCCCAGGATGGAATTTAAATTCAGCTCCTTTATCCTGCCTGCTCTTTAATAGTCTATCTTAGATCAAACTTTCTGGCTCCAGGTTTAAAAGCATCTTTAGAATACCAAGGTGCTCACATTTAGCCCCTTTCTCACTTTCTCCTTTCTTTTTATTTTCTGTGTTCTTTGTGTACTTATTGATCCCCCATTAGAAGATTATAATTATATTTGAAGACAGGGGCTATGTCTTATTCATCTTTGTACCTCCCTTCTTCAACCCTCGTCTGATGTGTTTGCTCATATACACTTTTCTTTTGTTAAATAAAAATAAATATAGTTAGAGGCAAATACAAATTCTTCACTGTTTCAACTGCTACTGAGAAAATGATAGGAGATTATTAATTTGTGAAGTGGTCAACTTCCTTTTTTAATAGAATGAGTAGTAGATGAGAATATTTTATATTTCAAGTGCAAATAAAATTTGCCTCAAAGGATTTTGATATGTTTTTGTCTCTAAAAGGAGCAACAGCCTTATCGTGAGGTATATGTCAAGATAAATCTAGAAAGGGCCAATGGAGTTATTTTATTTAAGGAAAATAGCCTCAGTGGTAACTATCAATAACTTAAAGTTTCCATATCTTACCAGTAAACTGAATAAAATGCTCTTTTCTTTATAGCTGCCGCTAATGGAGTTGGACTCATGAGTGAGGGAGAAAGTGCCTGTGAATGACATCATTATGCGACATCATAGGACAGTTTTTTTTTTCTTTTATTCACTCGTCTTTCTTTTATTTCAACTGATGGTATACCATAAACAGTCTTCTAAGCCTTGCTTCTTTTCTTTGAGAGTCTTCTATGTTAGCTCATAAAGAGGTGCTTCTTGCTTGTTAGGGGTTGTATGGAAGTGTGCAAGTTAATAAGCTGTTGCATGTCAGTTCCAGTCTCACCCTTCAGACTGTGCAAATCACATGGCCAGCTCCCTGTTATGTTTGCCAAGAAAGGAAGCTAGGGAAAGACTGGGATGCTCTGTTTTGTTTGCTGTTCCTCCCCGCAGCACCTGAACAGTGATCTTCTACCCCACAGTGGCAGTTCATTGCAGTCTCCAGCTTGTCTCTTTTCCAGACGTTCCCAGAGAGTCTCATTTTGTCCCCTCAGAGGCACCCCACCAGTGGGGCAGTGGCCCTTTCTCAGCGGTCTGACCAACTCCAGGAGGCCTCTCCTACAAACCTCCGCATTCTAGTAACCTCAACATTTTCCTTTTGTTCTCTCAGCCTTACAGTATGAGCTGCTTCCTGGAGTTCCTCTTCTTTATCCTTTTGGCTTTAAGTTCTTCAATAGCTAATGAACCAATAGCTTATATTAAGTTCTCTTTGTTGAAATGCCTTGTGTAGGGTCTGTTTTCCTAGCTGGACCTAACATATCCATGCAGGATCAGAAGGCCCAAAGGAGCAGAACAACCTGCGCTACTCTTTGAATTTGGATGAACCGTAATGTATTTGACTAGTTCTCTCTAAATGGACATTTAGGTAGTTTTCAACCTTTTGTAACTAGAAACAGTACATTAAACAACTTTAAATGAATATTTTTTTTCACATATGTGTGAGTCTATCTGTAAGATAAATTTATAGAAGAGGAACTCCTGGATCAAATTGCCAAAATGCCCTTCATATAGGTTGTGCAAATTCAGTCTCTCACGAGCAATAGACAGAAATCTATTCCTATGAGAAATAGAGAAATCAACAAAGGGAAGAGTGAGCCAGGTGTGATACCACTGTCCCAGTAAGAGGGCCTTAGCTAGTGGAAGAGAGAAGCATAGCATGAGATCTGTCACTTGAGGAATTACTTTTTGGCTTAGACTCCACGGACTTCATTTTGAGCCCTTTGGCGATGAGAAAGGCTAAAACACAAATGAAAAGAAGGCTCTCTAAGACATAGTGTTACTCACTTCAAAGAGGGTAACGCAAAAAGGAGAGGTGCTTTGCCATAGATTACCACCAATGCCAGGCAGTTTGAGGAGTGGCTGTACCCAGTTGCTGTGCCCAGTGAAGACTCAGTACCAAGCTAAAGTGGCTGTGATAGCCAGCAGCAAGAGTGACACCTACAGATGCATGGCTATTGGAACAAGGGGCAGTGCTGCCCGGCATACGCTATGTGGTTGCTGCGAGCACATGTGAAATACCTCCTAGGGACTCCCCAAAACATGGGTGGAGCTTTGTAGGGTACTGGGTACTGTTTCCTGCAGTAGCAGAGAAGATAAGAGCTGGTAAAACACAGGCTACAAAACTCATTTACTAAGGTAGTCACTTTTTTTTTTCCCATTCCTATATCTTTGCCTCTTAAACTTGGGTAGGCTTTTGTTTAACAATAGCAAAGTAAAATCTTCTTCCTTAAGTCTTTATGATACTTCTCTAGCAAGCCTGGGATGTGACTGAGTTATTTTTACAATCTGCTGTTTGGTTTTCCTGTCATTTACTCCCTGCTCAGCAGAGCTCTTCTGCAGTGATCATTGCGCTTGTTTAGCAGGCAGGCTACATTCTACACACTTGCTTTTGCTGATCTCACCTTAGCATTTTGTGGTAACAAAGCTGTGTGCACAACCAAAGTTGTGCCTTTCTTACTCTGTAAGATGGGCTGCCTTCCTGCAGATGACTTTTGTTCTATGTTCCACTGTGTCTTGTTTGTGCCATTCTTAATTTACACGACAGAGATGCTGTCATCACCAATTAACATTAATCAAGGGCCCCCTGGATGCATGGCTGCATTGGGACTAATTTAATATGCTCTTTGTTCCAGATATCAGGTGGCTTCTTCAAATGATTTTTAAGTATCTCGATGATGATGAAGAACAAAGACATCAATCAGGATTCAGGAAGACAGCTTTTGCGGAAAATGCTTAAAGGGAAGCATCAAGGATTGGTGTTGATATTTGAAAGTTTAAGAGTGGTATACTTTTATTCAGTCAACACATGACAAATGTAAAAGGCACTCATTTGTTGTTCCTGGAAGAAGCCTGGCAGCATTCCATTCAGACATCTGCCCTTTCATCGTCCCACTTTTTACTTATTGCAGTCCTTTCAGTCTGAATATTTCCTCCTGACGCATCTTCTGCCGTCCGAAATGACTCCCTGCTCCCAGATCCTGTAGCCCTTATTATTGACACCTTTCATTTAGAAATTTAGCACATGTCACATTACACCATTATTGAATAAATAATGAATAAATAAATAAATAAAGATGTATGTCCTTCCCAAGTATATCAGAGAACTATCTGGACAATTTCTTTCTTTCCCAATTCTCAGAATCAGCAGTATTCTGTCAAGAAACATTTATCGACGATGATGGCAATAGTCGATTAAAATCAGATGAAGTTTTATTTTTAAAAAAAGGTTGAGCGGAGAGACAAGGCTGAAGGTTTGGAAGTTGAGACAACCATCTTCAATAAACGTTTTCTCATCTAAGGGCTGTATGTACATCATTTTGGGGAAGGTAGAGATTGAAGGAGGAAGAACATCACTGGAGGAAGAGACAGCAGTTTGTCTTTCGAGTTTCAATAAAGTTTCAAAAATCTTGCCTAAGTTATATATTTTTTTGGCCTTTCCCTTTTGATGTGACAATAAACTGTAATGCGGCTGTCGTTTGTACGAACCGATATTCAGCAGAATAAATCTGAGCACTTTCAGAAAAAGAAGCGTTCGGTTTTCTCATAGATGTTAGCATGAAGAACACACTTTGACCTTTGATGCTGTCAAGCACCTGGGCCAGCGAGGCTGGCGGCTGGCGAATTCCACCAGCAAGCAGACGCATTGCTGCGCAGGACCCGGCGAACCAGGGACCGGTCCACCCAACCCAGGAAGGCACCCCCGGGGTCCCGCCCAGCCCGGTTCCGGGAGCCTTATTGGCCGGCCTTCCGCCCGCCATCTCTATCAGCCCCAGGGATTTGGCAAGGGAGGTAGGCGGCTCCCTTTCGGCCACTCATTGGTCAAATCCTAATGGAGGTAAGGCACTCTGCGAGTCTCTATTGGTCCCTAGGCTCCAAAAAGGGCGGGGAAAAACAGACCGACAGGCCTCTAGGCGGGAAGCGCGGAGTGCGCCGGCGCGTAGTCGGGGACGCCGGGCCGAGGCTTTGCTAGGGAACACTGTTATCGCCCCGCCCCCTCGGAGCTTTTTCTCCAGTTAACTGTCGGAGTAGCGGGGGCTCCGGCGCCGGGCGACATGCCGGTGCGCTTCAAGGTGAGGCTGGGGTCCCCGGGCCGGAATGTGGCTGGGGGGAGCCATGGCCGGGGAGGTGTGGAGCGCCGAGGTCACGCTGCTTTTCTGCGCTGCAGCCCTCTGCCCGGCGGAAGCTGCCAGCCCCAGGGCCTGCTCGAGGGGCCCCAGAATCTGCCCGCCGCCTCTTAACCTAGTTCCCTCTCCGCTCACTCACATTTGCAAGCTGCAGTGTGTCGAAGAGTCAGATGGTGCGAGACACATTTACTTAGGGGGACTCAAGAGGAGTGGAGATGGGAGGAGGTCCCTTTGCGAAGAGAACTAAAGGCGACTTCAGATTGGGACACCTGTGGCCCATTTAGCTTAGCATTTAACCCCCATTACCTTTAAAACTTTAGTGTATGTGGCTTTTAAAGGCTTGAGAAATGGGTTCTTAGTAAAGACAGCGTATAAAGAAATACACGTTTTTCATCGTTGTGCATTCTTAGCGTATGTTAAAAGTTCCAGGTAGCTGGTAGCTGTCAGGGACTAGCACCCTGCAACTTCACAGGTGGCCACAGCGTCCCACATCTCCTGACTCATTTATCTTAAAGGCGTGTATTCAGAATGGAAGGGGAGTTTGCCTTTTGTTGACTTTATCAAATAGCAAAAGGTCCTAGGCATGGTACATAATATTGTGTACTCGGTGAAAACCTGCGATAAATCTAGAATGATGAGAATTTAGATTGTCATTAGTTATCCGACAAGAACTCATGCTTTGGAATCAGATAATCAGTGAAAGGGTAACCTCTGAGCCTGGAATTCCTGGTAGCATCTGCCTCAAGTGGTGTTGTGGATTAAAGGATATAACACGTGTGAACTGCTTAGCACAGGGCTGGGTGAATATTAGCTCTTATTAAGGAGCTCGTCTGTGTTTAATTTTCAGTCTTAAGTCTCTTTTGGGAGGTTCAGAAATTATTTTTCACCGATGTCTGCTTTAAAACATCATTCATTAATTGGACTGTACTCAAAAGTGTACTTTGCATTACAGGGGCTGAGTGAATACCAGAGGAACTTCCTGTGGAAAAAGTCTTATTTGTCCGAGTCTTGTAATTCCTCCGTGGGGCGAAAGTACCCATGGGCTGGACTTAGATCAGATCAATTAGGTAAGTTGAGCAGGCTAATAGCCATTCTAACCTGGGCTAAGTTTATAACTTGGGCCAAGCCGTTATAACTTGGGCTAAGTAAACCTTGGGCTAAGTTTACCAAATGATATATTAAAAGTTCAGTTGGCCTGGTTGATTTATTCATTTATTAATCAAGTATTTATTGAAGGTTTACTATGAGCCAGGACTATTCCCAGCAGCTAGTGTGGCAGGCCAGGTTTCACTAATGGAGGCCTCCATCACAACTGTTTCGGTACTGACTGAGCGGTTAAGTTAAATATTGAAAGCTAAAAAAAGCCAGTGCCCTTACACAAAGGCTGGGATGTCACAAAAGCCCATCAAGAGTATTGCCTAGGCCTTTCCTGGGCCATAAAGCATGACAAAATAAGGAATTCTTAACAGGATCCGTTTAGGATTAAACAAGTTTTACTGGGGGTCTGAAGAAACTCCCCAGGCCTCCACAAATTTATTGGCGGTCTGAAGGAACTCCTCAAACCTCCATGATTCAGCAGGAGACAAGATAAGGGTAATCAGCCCAGCACCTAGACCCATTTAGATTAAGTAAATTTACTGATGCTCCAGAAGAAGGTCTTCAGGACTCAGACCTTAGTTATAGATTAAAAGAAGTTAATCACTTATATCCTTAGATGAATGCACACTTACACGTAGACATATAGCTTAGAAGGTATATAAGCTCTGAAAAACTTTGTAATTTGGGGTTCGTCTGGTGATAATTTGCAGGCCTTCTTCCCGTAACTGGTTATAGAAATAAAAACTCTCTTTCTCCCTAGTTTATCTGCATCTCGTTATTGGCCGAGAGAAATAGCAGCCTGACCCTCAGTTTGGTCTGGGAACACTAGGGATATAGCCCTGAACCAAAGTCCCTTAACTGTGGAGAGAAACAGTAAGCAAGTCACTCAATAATTAAGGGAATTTCAGGTTTTTATATAAAATTGTAGGGAAGTGTGATACATAACATGCGGGAGGAGTGGATTGGAGGGAAAATGCTTTAGATTAGATGGTTGGGAAAGGCTCTTTTTGAGGAGGTGATATTTGAGCTGAGACCTGAAAGCTGAGGGGACAATGCTGGGGAAGAGTGCTCCCAAGGTCTTGAGAAATGGAAGCTTAGGGAGATGAGGTCGCTGCCCCAGCTTTACAGCTAGTAAGTGGCAGAACCATGATTTGAAATCAAGTCTGTTTTGTGCAAAGCATGTAATTTCAGAGGTCATGTTCTTGTTATCACACATGCCTCCTCCCTGTGTCCCAGGGAAGGCAGAGTCCTGGGCCAGAGTTTCCCGGAGGGTGATAGAACAGAAGGGAGACAGACTGACCTCATTATACCTGCTTATTTAATTCTTCCTTACTAGTATATTAGATCTCTGAGAGTAGGGCTCTGTCTTATTCACCACCCAGTACCTAACACAGGCCTTGGAACATTCTATTGCTTCTTGAAACTATTTTTTGAATGAATGAATTAGCCTAAATTTGAATTATAATAGCTGTGTGATGTTGGGCAAATTGAGCTAGTTTCACCAAGTGAGATTTTAGGAAGTCTGTTGCATAGGATTACTGGGAGGGTTTAAATGAGATGTTGCCTATTAAGGGCCTGGTTTGAGTACACAGATCAGTGCTTAGTGTCCCACATGTGATGTGTGCGAGCATGGCATGTAAGTCACATAAATGTTAGATGTTTGAAGCCAGGAAAAGACTTATGGGTAGGGTACCAAGCCTGGAAAGTTAGTAAGACGACGAGGTATTTTCAGAATTTGGTCTAGAGAACAAAGGGAAGAGTGGGCAAGAGTGAGTGTCTCTTTTAGAGTTCCTCTGAAGCATCATGATCTGACCCAGCGGCAAACTTCAGAGACTGGGTGTCCCTGCTTCTCCGGCAGGGTGCTAGGAAAATCCCTCTGCTCATAATCCTCTTTTTACAAATGACCAGAAATTCCACATATTTGAACCTCCATTAGATTAAGAATCCAAATAAATCTCTGTTTAAGCATAGATATCCCACCCTGCTGAGCGCCTACAGGGCTATTATGACACTGGAAAATTCATTAAACTGGGTAGTTGTCCAATAACATTTCAGCTTAGATCAGCTGCATTTGAGGGGAAGGTGATGAAATGAGACCATGAGAGCAAAGCCACCTTAGAGCATGGTATATAATGAAGGAAGGAATGGACTAGGGGAGGAACGTTAGTGGGGAATTTTAGGTCATGGGGAGGGACTGAGCAAGAATTCCAGAATGCTCAGAATGGGAGGTGGGAGGTTAGCAAAAAACAACAGCAGTGTTACCGAGGATGGCTGTCCCTTCTTTTAGAGTAGTGTATTTTTACCCTGGGGATTTGCTGGTGCTGGGAGACAGCGGCAGACCACTTGAGAATCTTCTTTCATTTTGTGCTTCTACCAAAAACCTGCCTCTGTGTTAAAGCAGAGAGGAGTCTAATTGGTGATCTTCAAGCTTTTTTGCTTTTATACTTCCTAGAAAAATTTAGAAAAACATTGTGCTTCGTCACACATTTCTAAATTGCTATTTTTTATAATAAATTTTTATGAATAGTTTTGAATGATAGAATTTCTGGTATATTGCATAGTGCTTATATATTTTACATATATTTTGTAAAAACTCTGGAGTTGCCAATTTAGCCCATTCAATTTTTGGAAAATGTTTATCATACAATTGGCAAAGTCAGTATTCATTGGCAAACTAACCGGCCAAATTAGAATTATTTTCTGTGAGAAAGTCTGTTTATCTTTAATTAAGGTAAATGTGTTATATGCATATGTACATTTCACATGACATCCCTCTCATATCTGAATTTTAATACTGAGAAGGTAGATGGAAAATCCATGGAGCTATATGAAATAAGATGCTGTTGCTTTGTTATTTCTAATCTCTGCCTGCTTTGTTTTGCTGTCAAATATTCTCCCTCAGGGATATGCTTTCTTGAATTGTCCCTTTGTTTGGCTCCCTACCCCTGAGGTTTTGTTCTACCTTGGGCGGACGCACTGGAGTAAGTTTCAGGCTGGTTAAGAGGTGTGTCTTTCTTCTCTAAAGTGGGAAAAAGGAGATTATGAAAGGGGCGGTGGGAAATGGAACTGCAGATGGCAGATGCAGCTCTCAGGCAGATATATCAGCATCAGGCAAGAGAGCACATGTGGAGTTGAGGATCTGGAAAATGATTCCCTTAAGCTGCCCACTTCTGTTTACCCTCCTAAAACATCTTTGTGTGCCTCCAGACAGATATCCACCCAGTGAGAAGACCTGTGGTCTAGGGAAGCCTTTTAAAAGGATAAGGACCCGGGGTGACATGGCCAAGACATCTACAACAGAGGCTAAGGAGCCCTGGGTTTTACCTCATGCCCAATTTTCTTTCCACCTTCCCTTTCCATTCTGGTCTTAATCTTCCTTCTGCACCCTGCAACTGTCTTAAAGAATGGCCCTAAACTAGGGCAGTCTCTCAGTGGCTGTCATTCTGCAGAGCTGCTCTTACCTTCATAGAAGGTTAAGTTTTTGGACATTTGCTTTCCATACAGAAATATAGAGAAATTGTATCTTAGCTGTTGTTAAAAGGGCTTATTCTTTTTTAATTCTCAGGAAATCAAGGCAGATGTAGAACCAAGATCCAGCACAGTGACATCTCATCCCTTCTCATCTTGGTCTGCTCCACATAAGAGAAGCTTTGTGAAAAGTTCCAAATTTTGACAGTACCAGGGCCCATTGTTCTGTTAAGTAGCACAGGAAAGTAATTAGAAACGAGGCAGCATGTACTGCCTGGCCTGCCAGGTCTATCACGTTGCAATTCTAGTGACTTTTGTTAGGATAACTGGAACATTTTGTGACCCCCTGATTTTTAATTTTTTGTTATGGTCAAATTTTTAATGCTTTTAAAAGCAAAATTAAATATTTTATGTTGAAAAGCTGTACTTTTAAAATCCTATAATCTGAAGGATATTGTGTGTATATATAGGTACATATATCTGAACTAAATTTAAAATTTCATTTCTCCTCCACAAGTGTTCTTAAAAGTTGTCTTTGTAACTTTTTGCTTTAGTAGCTACTATTTTTGTATACCGTGTTTTGTAGGCATCACGAAAGAGCCAAGTTTTATTTCAAAAAGAAGAGTCCCTTACCATGACCCACAGATTTCAAAATCTCTGGAGTGGAATGGAGCTATCTCAGAGAGCAATGTGGTTGCATCACCAGAACCAGAAGCCCCGGAAACACCAAAATCACAAGAAGCAGAACAAAAGGATGTTACTCAAGAAAGAGTTCACTCACTAGAAGCTTCCAGGGTTCCCAAAAGAACCAGATCTCACTCTGCAGACTCCAGAGCTGAAGGGGCTTCAGATGTGGAAAATAATGAGGGTGTAACAAACCATACACCAGTTAATGAAAATGTGGAACTGGAACATTCTACCAAGGTTCTTTCAGAAAATGTAGATAATGGGGTAGGCATATTCACTGCATTTCTTTTCAAAAGCATAGAATTCTTCATTGGTTTCATTGTCATTTCTGTAATATTACATTTTGTGTTTCAGAATTTTCCATTGTTGTTTTCTTGTCTAATGTCTATAAGAATAGTTGATAACAGGCTGTTGACTTTAGTTATTGTGAATTAGTTCTATTCTGACTACTCGCTATTTTGTAGTAGTTGTACTATGATAATCTGTTTATTGGATGGACCTCCTGCGTCTGGATTTTATTCATCATATATTAGCACCTGAGTCCTAAGGGAGAGATCAAGTTGAGACAGAGAAGGGAAGTAGGCCCTTACTTCTGGCAGGGTGCTGAGCTGACTTCTACCTAGCCCCTTTTCAGTTTCTTATCGTGTACAAGAAGACAAACAGAAATTCAATTGATGAAATGCAAAAGGAAGGAGAGCTCTGGCTGTCTCTCAGAGATCTTGCATTTCTGCTCTCTTATGTCACAGCTGGCCTGCAGCAGGTCCCTGTGAGCACATAAGCAGAGGCTGCAGGAACTTGTGTGGGGATCTCAATGCTTTCCACATTTCTTTCTCCATTCTGTTCCACTGCTCTTCTCTGGTTCATGTCCACCACTGACTGGGACCCTGAAGAGGCATTTCAGAGTGTTGGAGAAGAATCTGTAGCTTGTTGAAAAAGCTGGGGGTGAAAGGGAACAAGGAAGGTGATGTGTGAGTCTGGCAGGCAGGAGAAGGGGTGTTCATAGAAGCAGTGTGCAGGTGAGGCAAAGTGCTGGGACTTTTTGGTAATAGATTTAATTATGAATGATTAGTAGGAAAGGACTGAGAGTATTATATTTTTCCTGGGATGCCTAATAGTCCTTTGATAGAAAGGAATTTTAAATAGTTTGACACTTGAAAAAAGATACTATTTATAAGTTGAAGAAAGTTTGCTGTACCACAATGCGCATGTAGTTAACAATTTTGCACTGTAGATTTAACATTTTGTTAAGAGGATAGATTTCATGTTATGCATTTTTTACCACAATTTTTAAAAAGTTTGAATAGAAATTTTTAATGTCTTTGAGTGGATTTTGTTTTTTGAACAGTTGGATAGACTTCTGCGTAAGAAAGCTGGATTGACTGTTGTTCCTTCATATAATGCCTTGAGAAATTCTGAATATCAAAGGCAGTTTGTTTGGAAGACTTCTAAAGAAACTGCTCCAGCTTTTGCAGCCAATCAGGTAGCTTAATGGATGTAATACATTTCTGAGTACCATTATCTTATCTAGTAATGTAGATTTACATAGAATTAAGAGTTGAAAGAAATTAAGTACTTAAGTAGCCTGGAGGTAGGTTCTAGAAAACCAAAATGAGAGTTTTGCTAAAATCATCCTATTACTTATGATTTATGGTAGTAATATTATACTGTCCTAGGCTTCTGATGATCATTGTTGCCAGATGCAGCACATATACTAAATATGAGACAGGGTAATGAAAACTTGGGGAACTGGTAAGTTTTTGCATGCTACAAGATTTTTTTACTTATTAAAAAATTATTAAATTGATTTTATTCTAAAATGTTGTGTTTTGTTGACTAATATATTGCGTGTTTCCTGTATTCTAAGAAAGGCGTAACTGCTTTGAATATTTAATAAATACAAAATATGTTGACAGTAACACAAGATACGTAATTTTGTCCTTGTATCAGACAAATAGTAATAGGCATTGTCAGTATAACTATATTTGTAAAATTCAAAAGCTGTAATGATGTGGTATTAGATTTCATTATACTCCTGCACAATTTTAGTATTGAGATACCATTACTAATAGATAGTCTGTTGTTTTACTACCTTCATCCTTTAGGGAGTTCTTAGGCTTTAAACTCTCATTTATGTTCTTAACAGTACTTCTAGGCATAGACAGGAAATACCTCCACTTGGAATATCCCCAGAGACCTGTAATGGCTTAGTCTGTTTTTTCTTCTGGTCTTCGTGTTTTTCTTTATAAATACACACACTTTCACACACCCTCACATTCATTTTCTCCTGTACGTCAACATTCACTTGTATATTTTGTATAGCCGTAAGAACTGACAGGATAATTAGATTCAGCAAGACAATAACATCTAGTCATCTTACATTAAGATAGAAAAACACCAGTGATCCTATAAATTGTGGCAGCTTTGGGCTTAATTATTATTCAATTTTTAAAATACCTTTGAAATTTATATAACATTTTAAGAATCTGTGAAGTAACAAAGTGATAAATACCCTTTATTAACCTAGTAAATAGGATCAGTACTTCTTTTGCTTGCCTACAGGTTTTTTTGGAGATTAAGTGTACCTAAAACATTACTTACAACCTGAAAATTGTAATTATTCAGTTTTTTATAGAGTATTTGACCTTTAAAATAGAGCTGATTCAAATCAAAGCCCTATCATCATCAAATAGGGCTTTTACATGTCAGTGAAAGCGTTGTGTAGAAACGTTACTTTTATAAGAGAAATCACTAGCGATATATTCAGTAGTTTTACTGCTTTCTTTAATAAGTGTTTCACATACTTTTTTTAGAAGGAAATGCTCATGGTTAGTTCAAAGCATATTGAATTCAGAGTCTATGGATTGAAGAGCTTTGAGACAGCTTTCAATGCTTGTTGATAGGAAACCTCTAAAAGGGTTGTTCATTTCATTTTATCAGACACCTGCTTTCTGAAAGGATGTCTTATATTAATATGTAAAGGAGTCAGAACAGTTTTTGGCAGTAAAGTCCTTGAGGTTATACTGTACTAAAAAAGATAAACTGTTTAGATCTGATCTGTATGAAGATGTACTATCCAGCATTACAAAGCAGTAATATAACTTGACTGAGTTCCCCATCTTTTCCATTTGCTTTCCTTGTAATCAGTGGTAATATGCCGTGAAATAGAAACCATATTGTGAAGTAGTAAGTATAAAAGGAAATATTTAACAATAGAAGTGTAGTAATTGCTCAGAACATTTTCTTTGCCTTAATAAAATACGCTGAAAATAAGCCAAGGGAAGAAAAGCTAAACAAATTGAACATATTGGGTATTCAGAAATGTGAAGAATTTTCTATTAAGGCAGGAAGAAAAAAAATCATGTCAGGGAGGAAGAAAAAAACCTGTAGAACTGACAACAGAGTTGCCTTAAAGCTAATGTCTATGTCATATGAAAATATGCCAACGTTTATTTTGATTATAAGCTATATTTTGATTACAAAACTGTTATTCAAAACATAGTAATGAGTACATAAAGTTGACCTTTGGATGTTAATAATATATGTGAAATGAAATTAAAATCATATATAACTTTGCTATTTTTTTGTCCTGTAATTCAACTTTATGTTTTGTTAAGTAATTGAAGACCAAAGTTCCGCATATTTAATCAACAAAACTAAACTAAAATAATTTTTGTTTTAAGGTTTTCCACAATAAAAGCCAGTTTGTTCCACCATTCAAAGGTAACTCAGTCATCCATGAAACTGAATACAAAAGAAATTTCAAGGGTTTATCTCCAGTGAAAGAACCAAAATTAAGAAATGATTTGAGAGAAAACAGAAATCTTGAAACAGTGTCTCCTGAAAGGAAGGTATTCATCAACTTTTAACCTTACAAAACAAAATCCCCGTTATTTTAGATTCTCCACGTTTTCGTTTACTTACTACCACCTGGGAGTTTTTGGTTTTCACTAGTTCATTAATTCATTTGTTCATCAAATGTTCATTGAGCCAGCTACTAGGAGCAGACATGGGTTGGTACTGAGAATACAAGGCTGGCAAATAGCCCCAAGCAGCTCTTGGGCTAGTGGGGAGACAGACATAAATAAAAATGATACAGCATGATGAGTACTTAACAATACAGGAAGTAAGTCTAATAAGTTTAGTATCAAAGTCAAGTAAGTTTAATATCAAATGACTGGATTTACAGTAACCTCCAGGGGTAACAGTAGTGATAGAAATACTTATTTTAAGTTATGGAAATTAAACACATACATACTTATATGTATTTTATTTTTATTTATTTTTTTCGAGACAGAGTCTTGGTCTGTCGCCCAGGCTGGAGTGCAGTGGCACGATCTCGGCTCACTGCAACCTCTGCCTCCCGGATTCAAGCAATTCTCCTGCCTCAGCCTCCTGAGTAGCTGGGACTACAGATGCACGCCACCATGCCCGGCTAATTTTTGTATTTTTAGTAGAGATGCGGGTTTCACTGTGTTGGCCAGGCTGGTCTCGAACTACTAGCCTCAGGTGATCCGCCTACCTTGGCCTCCTGAAGTGCTGGGATTACAGGTGTGAGCCACCACACCCGGCCATCACATGTATTTTAAACCAAAGCTTTAGCATGCCAAATTATAGCCAGTATAATTCACATGATTTACCTCAGAATATACAAACAACTGCTTCTGTGTGATATTACAGCCATTTAATTTGCAGAATCAGGCTAACATGATTATAAATTACAGGTAATTGGGGTATAAATACTATTTTTGAATCTCCTGGAATGTTGATACCCGATACTTTATGGTCCTAAAAATAGAAAGTATGTAATTACAAGTAAATATGACTAAAAGTAAAATGATGTATACACACACACATATATTAGGCCTATGATATTATTGGAGAAAAAAAGAATTGTTATTCAGTAAAGCGATTTGGTAACTAATTCATCAGGATCTTATGTTTAATTACTGTAACGCAATTGTAAATTTAGAATATCAAATTCAGTATGTGGTAACATTATTTAGATATGTATTTGTTAACTTAAAAATTTTCTTCCTTAGCCAAAGATCTAAAATCTTTATTGTTAGAAAATGAAACTATATCCTCAGCTAAACTTCAAAAATAACTAACCAAATATACTAAAAATTTCAAAACTTCTTTGTTGATTTCTTATGGTTTTTATTTTCTTTAGTATCTAAAGCTTCTAAAAATAGAAATGTCATTAAATATTCAAGTCTAACTTTATAACATGCATGTTTTCACTTTAATGTGTAACATCTTAAGCATAAAAAGCTTAAATGATTTCCATTTCAGAGTAATAAAATAGACGATCGTTTAAAATTGGAAGCAGAGATGGAATTAAAAGACTTACACCAGCCTAAAAGGAAGCTTACTCCTTGGAAACATCAAAGGCTTGGGTATGTATTTTAATAGGAAAATATGGTATTTCAATGATTAACATGGTGAAATATTTACTTTCATTTCATTTCTATTAGGAAGGTGAATTCCGAATATAGAGCAAAATTTCTGAGCCCAGCTCAGTATTTATATAAAGCTGGGGCTTGGACACATGTAAAGGGAAACATGCCAAATCAGGTGAGTGTACATGACCTCAATAAGCCTACATGTTCTTTCAGCCTCTGTTAACACTTTAATTTCACAACGAGTTCCTTTTGGTAATAGAGACCACAATTTAAAGAAGTATGATATAATAATAGCACTAATAGTATCAGGAACTTATGTATTAGAATGTAAATTATCATTTTTTTTAATGCCACTGGCTCTTCAGAAATTAATATTTATTGAGGTCTTTTAAGTTTAATGCTTTTTACCATCAAACATTTGATTGTGTTAATAGTCAATTTATAGAATTGTATCATTATAGATTCGATTATTTCATAACCTCCAGACCTCCACTGTCTCAACTGAAGATTAATTTTCAAGATGAAATAATTTATCTGATAGTGATGCCCATTGTCAATGTGTACTATTACAGTTTGTAGGCAAAAGAAAGGTGAAGTTTGTGTTGTTAGAGGTGTGAGCTACAGTTTTGGGGTACTCTGACTTGGGAGAAACTCTGGGGATCTGAAGATAGGTTTGAAGGGAAGGGTAATTCTAGAGTTGAGAATTGCTACTTTAGTACTAGCTTCTTATACTCAAAGGATAGAGAATGGAACCTTTTTGTTATTGTATTAATTAGCATCTTTCAAATCATATCTTGACTTTTTTTTGCCTTTTCTGTGAGAACAAGCTAAATTAAAATGTTTCTGTTTAGACATAAGTAAACATCCCACTTCCCCCTGTCATTGTAAACAGAAGGATAATTTGGATGGGGAATGAGTCTTTTATTTAGCTCATTACTTAAAACCATGGCCCACAATTATATATAATCAGCCTCTGGGGGAAGGGGCTGGTGCTCGGGTGCGCTGAGCTGCTGGTTCTTTGAGCTGCAGCTCCCAGACATATGTCCTGGCGACTGCCATGCTGTCTGCATATTGTTTCAGGAGGTCACTTGATTCCTTCCACCGTGGCCACTCTTTTGCTTTCTTTCTACTTCTCTATTTGAGCACGGCCTGAAGACAGCACAGGCAAAGTAAAAGACAAAGCTCAAAGCTGTCCCGGATATTATCTGGGGCAATGTTCATATATTCACCTTAGTGAAATCAAGTTAAAACTAGGAGCATCGAAAGCACCCGTGATGGAAGAAAGGCAGTGAGTCAGCTAAACTCTTGAGCAGTTTATGACCATCCCAAGTCTTGGCAAAGATCTCCCTGACTGAGGAGTCTGATAGTGGGAGTGAGGAAAAGCAGGACAGAGGCAGAACAGTATGTGTGGCTGGTAAATTGATGTCAGCCGCTGGCCTGTTGTGTTTAGGCGTGACACTAGGTTGAGGTTATGAGAAACTCTTTGTTTTGAAGACTGTGTTTTCTCTGAGATTTCTACGCTTGATCTCAGCCAAAAGGCCGAGCAGCGATTTCTTTAAACTAAGATGAGTTTAGGCATCAGAACTAAACATCTAATTGAGAAGATTGTTAAAACTGAAGTCATAGTAAGATGAGATTCCTTATCCTGCCTTGATGGAAGAGAACATTGTTGTTGTCAATTTAAGATAGACTTTTCAAGGTTTCCTATTATGATATCTTGGTAATGCAGCTTTTTTTGCTTATTAAATACTATAATGGTGGTTGTAAATATTTAAATTAGTGGTATAGTTTGCCTTAATTTCTTTGAGAAAAATAATTCAAAAAGTAAATTGAAGTTGGAAAAGAATAAGAATTTTTAGCTAAGAAGTCAGTGATCATTGATGATAACAGTTTTAGTTGACCAGGTTATAGACATTTAATATGAGCCATGTTTTACTTATATCTCTTGGAAGTCATTTACTATAGGCATCTGATTATGAGGTTCCTAAATATAAGGTACAGTACTCCTTCATTTTCCCACTCCTAACATTTCAGGAAGGAGTGTATTCACACTCCTCACATGCACTCAGACATAAGTGACTTTGTTGTTGGAATATTAACTCACTTTTTGAGTCACATTAGTTTTCGAGTCCATATATCATCTTTATTTCTTTCTATGTTTGAGATATACTTTTTGAATCTGTTTATAGTCTAGTCACTGGAAATTCTATGCCAAGTCCCAGTTACCTCTCATAGAGCATTAGGGTGGTTGGTTTTATTTGCCCAGTGGTTGTGTATTTGTCATCTCCATTATAATAACCACTTGACTATTGCTTTTTAAAATGCTCACTTAAGGGATTGTTTCTTAATAGTCAGCAATTAGAACTTTTTAGGTTCTATCCTCAGAATAACTACTTAATCTATGTTAAACTTCTTTTTTTCTTAATTGTTAGGTAATCTTTTCATCATCGATTGGTTGAGGTGATTTTATTCCAATGTGTCTTCCACAAATAGGACTGTGTTTCAAGATAAAGTCCTGCATTTGAGAGATGTCCTGTAATTTGACAGACATTGTAAAGACTAGGTATAAAGTGACCCCTCATTTTGGGGGGATGGTTTTTGGGTAAAAGGAGTTTTTATCCCCAGTTTCTTGAGTTTGAATTTTCTGCATATGTTTTAAATAATTTAGTTGAACTCTTAATTTGGACAAAGAAATTCAGAAAAGGAAACATTCTACTTATAATTGTATCATAATATATAATATGATAACATTACTTGGCCCAGAAAGGTGTGTGTATGTTGTTGAGTTGGGAATGGTTTATTTCTATCCTTTTTGGTGGCTCTGGCAGTTGGCTATAGGGATTGTTCTATTTAACATTGAGTTCATGCTATTGATTTTTTTCCTCCTCTTTTTAGTAGAACATACTACTTTGGAAAATGTCAGCCTTTTAATTTTTCATCTTAGTTTAGGGCTAAAGATATTTAAAATCATATTTGTAAAATATAATATTAGCACTGAGATTAATAAAGATTGTTGATATAGTAAATTTAAAGCACTTAGTTTTAAATGTCAGTAACAAATAGAACTGAATAAATCAAAGTCTTCAGAATTTTTATGAAGTATACTCTCCCCCTCCTTTCTAAATAAAATTGACGTCAAATAAAACTGGATGACTGTGTACATGGAGGGTATTCATCCATCCTTTCATTCATCATGCATGGATAGATGCAGCTGCCTCTGCTGTCCCTTCCACCCCCACTGCCCCGTCAATCTACCCAACACAGTGCAGGACTGATTGGTCCCCCTTTTGAACTACTCCTTCAACTTACATTTCATTTCATTTGTTTATTATGGCATAGACCCCCATCAATATTATGACAATTTATGTACAGGTTGGCTCACTGAGTGCAGGGAGTTTCTTGCTTATCTTTGGCTGCCATGTTTAGCTCAGGCATACCACTTAGTCTGCACTCAGGACAGGTTGTGGGCTCAGTGCTTAAGTGCTGCGTTTTCCCTCACCTCAAGAAGTTCATAGGTTGATGGAGGAGGAGGGCATGTGCAATTAATTCCAGTAAAATTGAATATGTATTAATGGGGATGTGCCCAAAGAACTCTGAGAACACAGAGGAGGAAGTGATGCTGAGGCATGTAGGTGATGGAGTGGCCCTGAAACATTTGAAGCATGGGGGCACTTACTGGCAATAAAATCTGGAGTATATCGAGGCACTTTATAACAAGGTTCCTGTGCATTCAGAATACCCTGGTTAGAAGTTCAGTAGAGTTAATTCATGTACCTCACTTCTACCTGTTAAATGCAAAAACCACTGCTAGAAATTTTCTTTAAAGGTATAGGAGTTGATAGAAATGATAAATGAACATAGCTTTTTTTTTGGCAGTGAAGAAAATATTTCAAATTATCCTTTAGGAACTTTTTTCAGGTATGGTTCATTAGAGTAGGACTCTGTTGGGATTATATGGTTTCTTATGCCATATAGGTGCTGTCTTTTGCTTTGGCCAATTCCCTAGAGATGTAACACTTTCATCTTTGCATTCAAAATCGTACCTTGTTAAGGAGCTATGTTTCTACAATTGCTTTTACATTGCTGTTTCATTATTTGCTTTTTTTTTTGCCCTGAAAGAAAAGCAATTCTAGAATAAAGATTTTCTGTCTTGATGATTTAAAAAATTAGTGTTTTTTGAGATTAAATAAAGATACTGAACAGAATTTTAAGGGTAAAACTTGAACTTAATTTTTTTTACATTGTGGAATTGTACTTGGAGAAGCCAGCAGGTGGCAGTATGATGTATAAAGTGAAAGGTTTCAAATGGGTATGAAGGCTGCTTTTTTCATCAGAAAATGTTACTTGCATATTAAATAATTCATATCACTTTATTATTCAGCAGAACTTTTTTATCCTGTCCCTTTGTTGAACACATTGCAATTATGATTTTATGGGCTATTATTTTAAATTATATATTTAGTACTTTTTTAAAAAAAAAAAAGTTGAGATTTTGCTGATTCCAAGGGAATATTGAGGAATTTGGAGAGGGAAGCCTCATAACCTCATTCATCTCCCAGTGAGGGCTTCTGTAGCAGTAGTAGCTGTATACAAAGCCATGAAATAAAGCTGGGTTAGGGATTTTTGGCGTGTAAGTACTCTTCCAGAGGTAGGGAAATAGGAATAATAGTTAGATTGCCTAATTTATCTGTCATCAGCAGCATCCTAGCCATGCAAGAATGTGGCTGGTTTTCAAGATAATAATAAGGTATCTTGGTTACTGAACTAATTACTAAAAATCCCAAGAAATATTGATTGACAAGTTTGGTAGATATTTAGAAGGGAGAATAATGTGTTTCATTGATTCCCATTAATATTCAATTATGGCATTAACCTATCATTAAGTGTGTTTCTGTATTCCTTCTCTAGGGTTCTCTAAATGCCATGTGGTATGCTGAGGTTGGTTGCTTTTGAGTTTTTAAAAACTATAATCATAGATTACTTGTGTAATTTCAGTTGGAATAAAAAGTAGGTGTCAATATTTTTCTTAGCTGCTATGAATTTCTCCCTGCCTGCTGGTCTGAAATAAAATAACTGCATCATGCTTTAGCTTGATTGTTTTAGTTTTTGCTTAAATGCACAGTCTGATGACTGTATGTGGCTAATTTTGCCTTCCTTTGTCTTTGGTCCCTGGCTGTATTTGTGCAATGTCTTTGATATGCTACTTGGTGCTGTTTGTAAAGAAGCATTTACAATAGTATATGATGTCTGAACTCTCCTGAATAGGTTAAAGAACTCCGAGAAAAGGCTGAGTTTTATAGGAAGCGAGTTCAGGGGACGCATTTTTCTCGGGACCATCTGAATCAGATTTTATCTGATAGCAACTGCTGTTGGGATGTCTCCTCAACCACAAGCTCAGAAGGAACCGTTAGTAGCAACATCAGAGCATTAGATCTTGCTGGGTGAGATATTCTTTGTGGATGGCAAAAAAAGTTTGTTGAAGCTTATGTAGATCATAGAATGATATAGGAAAATGACCTGACTACTCAAAATGTGTCTCCTAGTCGAATGGAATTGTGGCAGCCATTTATTTCATTTTTATTCTCAGTGAAAAATAAAGCAATGTAGATTGCTTTATTTATGTATAAATAACACATAATGTAAATCTGGAAGGCTAGATTTTTATAATATTTTTTGTTGGCAGTTAATAGCGGAGTAGGGATGATTACATGGTAGATGTAAAAAGACCTTTAGAAGGTAAAAAGAAAGTCAACAACAATAAAAAAGTAGAGACTGCAAGCTATTAATACATAGCTATTATTCATTAATAGATTTTGTGGCTAATTCAGAACTTGGCTGCTGATTTTATGGAAGAGCGCTCTGCTGTTCTGGGTTAAAATGAACATGATTTAATTATCTGTAAGTGAAAGTAATTGAAGAACTTAGACCATGGGGTCCTAGTTTATGTGTGTAAATGCCAGTTTAGGGCTAGGTATGACTTGTGTCAGCAGATGTACACAAGCATATGTGAAGGTAGGAGTAAAAGAAGATAAATACATTTTGGAATATTTTAATAGAAACTCCAGATTATGACTTTCATTTATTTTGCTATAAAACGAATTAGATTTCCTTCTTCAATACCTGAGCAAGGCAATATCTATGGAAAACATGTAGTTGTGAACAGTAGAAGGAAATGATGGACTCACTAAAATTGGTGTTGATTAGAAAAGTGCAAACTATTCACATTTAAAATAAAATTGATTTTGTTACGCAGAGATCCTACAAGCCATAAGACTTTGCAGAAATGTCCTTCTACAGAACCAGAAGAAAAAGGAAATATCGTGGAAGAACAGCCCCAGAAAAATACCACGGAGAAATTGGGTGTGTCAGCTCCCACCATACCCGTTAGAAGGCGGCTGGCTTGGGATACAGAGAACACAAGTGAAGACGTACAGAAACAGCCCGGGGAGAAAGAGGAGGAGGACGACAATGAAGAGGAAGGGGACAGGAAAACGGGCAAGCAGGCTTTTATGGGAGAGCAAGAGAAGTTGGATGTACGTGAGAAATCTAAGGCAGATAAGATGAAAGAAGGGTGAGAGTTTTAAATTACTCAGTATAGAGAAGCGTTATTTACATGGTTGATATGTATTTTGTCACTAAATATAGTGGTTTACTCTTTTGATTTTATGACTAATAAATTGCAGATTTTATTTCAATGTCACAAAGGAGGCACTGCTGTATGGTGAATAATTTGATTCACTCAGGTATTTAAGTCACTAGTGATTGGTAATTGAATACTTGAATTCTGGCCTACTTTGGGAGGAAGTAGTTAGGATTATTTTCATTTACGTCCTATAATTTATGGTGTGCCAGATTTGCAAATGTGTCTGGAAGAATGACTTTAAAGAAAAAAACTGGTGTTCTTTAATATCAGATGATTCTACCAAAAAAGATAATGTTTTATAATATTTTTTAAAAAGTGATTTCTGAAAATAGCTAATTCCTGTTGTTTTATGTGTAAATTGCTTTGGGGAGTGGCTCTTCTCCACCTATGATAATAGTGCCTTTTGTCTATAATCTAAATCCTTTATTCATTCATGGATGTTATGGAACTTGAGCCTTGATGTGAGGAAGGATTCTCTGCTGTGCCGGTGCTGACTTGGCAGTGATTTTCCCCATTATCCAGTATTCAGTCACTTTTTTCTTTGTGGGTTGTTTTTCTTCTATTGATATAGTTGATATAGCTTATATTATTTTTTCAGTGTTCTGTTTTATTTTTGATCTTGTGCTTAGTTCTATTCATTATTGGAAATTTCAGTCGCTTTTAACTGCATGTGGATTTGGTGGTTATTTTTTTCAGAAACAAAATGGCCTTCTCTTACAAGTTTTTTTTTTTTTTTTTTGAGACGGAGTTTCGCTCTGTCACCCAGGCTGGAGTGCAGTGGCACGATATCGGCTCACTGCAAGCTCCGCCTTCTGGGTTCACGCCATTCTCCCGCCTCAGCCTCCCAAGTAGCTGGGACTACAGGTGCCCGCCACCACACCCAGCTAATTTTGTTTTTGTGTTTTTAGTAGAGATGGGGTTTCACCATGTTGGCCAGGATGGTCTCGATCTCCTGATCCGCCCGCCTCGGCCTCCCAAAGTGCTGGGATTACGGGCGTGAGCCACCGCGCCTGGCCTCTTACAAGTTTTATACTTTATTATTGCACAATGATGGCAAAGTATTTTTTATCATATTTTCTCGAGGAAATGCTGTATAGATTCATAGATTGTTTCAATTTATAGGTCAGATTCTTCTGTATCCTCAGAAAAAGGAGGCCGGCTTCCTACTCCCAAGCTGAGAGAACTTGGTGGAATCCAGAGGACTCATCATGATCTCACTACTCCAGCTGTTGGTAATCGGCAAACACCGTGCAGTTCTTATTTAACCTGCTTTTTCTACATGTTAATTTAGTGTAATTGAAACTGTCATCTTTATTTTTCCAGGTGGTGCTGTTTTAGTGTCTCCATCTAAGATGAAGCCTCCAGCCCCAGAACAGAGGAAAAGAATGACCTCTCAGGATTGTTTAGAAACTTCAAAGAATGATTTTACTAAGGTAAACATGTTTTGGGGAAAAAAGCATCTCATCTAGGACTAATTATTGTAGACACATGTAATAAATGAATGATGGGTTAAGATTTTAGAGAATTGTGGCTATCATATGAGGAGATGATACTGTTAACCTGCTTTTAGTAAGGCAAAAGGCTTGACTTTTTTTCTGTTAGAAGCATTACGTTTTTGTTGATACACTTTCAACCTTGTCAGTAGTGACTCAATAGGAAGATAAAGAAAGCAATACTTTCATTGAGCATCTGCTGTGTGACAGTTGTATTCCAGCTATGTTCCAGGCATTGTTTTAAGTGCTGGGGATATAGCAGAGAACAAACAGACAAAAATCATAGCCATCATTGAACTTACATTCTAGTGGAGGAGGGAGACAATAAACAAAATAACCAGGTAAAATACATAGTATTTTAGATACTGATTAGTGCTAAGGAGAAAAATAAAGCTGCTGAAGTGAACAGGAAGTGGCCAGGGAAGTCCTCGGTGCGAGAGTGGCATTTAAGCAGGATCTGAAAAAGGTAAGGGATTGACCTGTATGCGGATCTGGGAAGGTCTAGGTGACAAGAACAGTAAGTGCAGATCCCTCAGGTGAAGGGGGTACCTGCCCCCTTGAGGAACAGCTAGAAGGTCACTGTTGCTGGAAGAGAGAGAGAGAGAATGAGAGGGAGAGTAGTGTTGATAATGGGTTCAGAGACATAATGGGGTGCTAAATTGTGTAGGGCTTTGTAAATCATAGCAAAGATTTTGAATTTTTTTCTGTATGCAGTGGCAAGCTATTGGAAAGGCAGAGGAGTGACATGATTTTATTTAGTTTTTTTCCAAGGTCTTTCTGGCTGCTGTGTTGAGAATAGGTAGTAGTAGAGCAAGAGCTGGGGCATAAAAACAGTTGGGAGTCACTTACTCTATCCAGGCAGGAGGTGATGGTTGTTTGGACCTTGGTGGTGGCAGTGAAGGTCATATAAAGTTCAATTCTGGATACACATGGAAGGTACAGCCAACAAGATTTGCTGATGGATAAGATCTGGGGTGGGAGAAAGAGAAAAATCAAGGGTGACTCAAGATTTTTGGCCTTAGCAATAAGGATGGAGTCGCCATTTAACTGAGTTGGAGAAGATCAAGAATTCCGTTCTGGACACTCTAAATTTGAGAAGCTTATTAGACATACAAGTAGACATGTTGAATAGGGAACTGACTATATAGGTTTGGAGTGTAGAGGAGAAGTTGGGCTATAGGTACAGATTTGAGGCTCTTTATAGCTTAGGTGGGTCAGGTTTTTAAAGTATTGAGACTGGAGGAAATCATCAAGGGGGTGGGTGTAGACAGAGAAGAATAGTTGTAGACAGGTCTAAACCCCAGTTTTTTGATATTGGGAAGTTGAGGACTAGTCAGCAAAGGAGACTGAAGGAGAGCAGCCAGTGAGGTGGTGACAAACGAGACTGGTATCCTGGAGGTGTCAAGGAGGAGGGAGAGTCAATGCTACAGATAGGTGAGTAAGATAGGACAATTGCTTATCAGATTTAGCAACGTGGAGGTCTTTGGTGACCTTGATAAAGGGCAGTTTTGGTGGAAGGAAGGGACAAAAGCCTAAGTGCAAGTGAATTCAAGAGAAAAAAGAGGAGAAGAATTGGAGAAAGCTGCCACAGATAATTCTCTGAAGTTTCTTTTCCAAGAAGGGAAGCAGAGTAATGCAGGAGTAGTTGAGAGAAGTGAGAACAAGATGGAAGACACAACAGCATGTTTGTATGTTGACAAGAATAATTTTGGAGAGAGAAAAGTTGATGATGCAGGAGTGAGGGGAAAGTTGTTGGAAAGATGCTCTTGAGTAGGAGAAAGGGCTTAGGATCTGGTGGAGATATGGAAGGGTTGGCTTTAGACACTGATTGTTTCTTTATTGTTAAAAGAGGGAAAGCAGAATTCATGGGCAGGCACTGCTGATGAATGTAGGAAGATGTGATGGCAGCTTTTGGAAGACCTCTTCTTATTGCTTCTTGGTGACATGTGAAGAAAGATCCTTACTGAGAATAAGGCTGGGGAAGATGTTGGAGATTTGAGGAAAGTGAAGGCATAGAGTAGTCTTCTCAGAGAGTGGGAGAGTGAGTGGGCCAGGGGAATGTGGGATATTTTAGGCCAATGTTAAGGGGCCATTTTAAGTTGGTGGTCACAAAGTTGGCAGAAGACCAGTCAGGAAGGGTTGTGTGCCCTTCTCCAGTAATGTTTGGCTGCAGAAGTGCAGGATACTTTTATCAGATAGAGTTGGATTTACCTAGGGTTTTGAATTTGTCATGAGAATAAGACAAAGTGAGAAAAAGGGGAATGGAGTTGAGGTATATATGAAGAAGGGATTATAATGAGTTGGTGAGGGAAGGACACTGGGACTTGAGAAGAGTGCAGAGGTGATAGGATCGGTGGATGGATGGTCTAGGTAAAATAAAAGACTTGTTGGAATTGGGGCACCTGTGGGGATTAGTTTTAAAGTTAGGAAATGGTGGTCAGAAATTTAGGTTATGGAGAGGTTGCAGTTACCAGTAATGACAAGGCTTAACTTAACATCATGGGTGTAAGTGGTTGGAGTAGAATAGAGAACATTCAGAGAAAAGGTTGAAAATCTATAGGGAATTTTGCTGATGGCTGTTTGTGAATTTGAGTACAAAGTAGGAGTTTTCAGGGATTGGGAACAGGTGGGAGATGGGATCAGAGCACCCTCTACCTCTTAATCCCCAGTGCTTAGAACAGAGTCCAGCTCATAGCACGTAACAGATTGAATGAATGTTATTGGAGTGACAGAATATCAAAACTATTTCCTGTTGCTTATGTATACACTGGTTTATTAAAGGAAATGTGACATTAGGAATATGGTCAGAGGACTCATGAGAATCAGATCTTAATGGACTGTTTTACTCCTCCTTAGAAATCCAGGCTGCCATCTGGAAGGTGTGAGCTTTTAGGCAACTGTATACACACAGCTGATTCAGCCAAAACGAGTGACTCATCCATATTTGTGGCTGGATTTATATGTATTATTTTCACTTACTGTGGAATTAATTTATTGAATAATCTAAATAGAGTAATATCATCCCTTAGAATGTTAATGCCATTCTCTGTCTCACTGTGAGTACTATACACTTTTAACATTTTAATTACCAACTCCTCTAAAATAAGTTTCTGGCCTGGTGCGGTAGCTCATGTTTATAATCCCAGCACTTTGGGAGGCCAAGGTGGGAGGATCACATGAAGCCAGGAGTTCAAGACCAGCCTGGCCAACATGGGGAAATCTTGTCCCTACTAAAAATACAAAAATTAGCTGGGCGTGGTGGCAGATGCCTGTAATCCCAGCCATTTGGGAGATTGAGGCACAAGAATCACTTCAACCCAGGAGGTGGAGGTTGGAGTGAGCTGAGATCACGCCACTGCACTCCAGCCTGGAAGACAGAGGAAGACTCTCTCCAAACCAATAAATACATACATATGTACATACGTACACAAGTTTATTATTGACAACTTGATTGGATATCCTTCCATGTGAATTTTCTGCGACCAGCACTACCAGGGACTATACCAGGAGCTAGCTAGATTTGGTTATTTCCCAGTGTCTACCCCTTGGTTACTGGTAGGCAGAGGAGTCACTAAACTTTGATATACACCATCAGTTTTTCCCCTTATATTCTCTTATAAAAGCATTGATAAGAAATTACGTTATTATTATGTATAAAATTAAACCCATAGGTCATTCAATTTCCAATAAATTATCAGTATGTCCCAAAACTTTAGGGTAGAATTCTCATATTGGTTTGATCATCAGGAAACATTTTCAAATCTTTATATTAAAAACCCAAGTGTGGATTTGCTCACTTCATTCATTTAGCAGATTTACCCACATGCTATGGCAATGATAATGGATAGAAACAGACATGGTACATAATCTTATGAAACCTGCAGTCTGGTAAGGGAGATACATGTTAATCACACCAAAAAAGAAATGAAATTAAAACTAATAAGAGTTTCAAAATAAAAGTACTTAGCACTATTCTGGAAGGAATTGTTCTAATCATGGAGATCAGAAACCTTCTTGGAAGTCAATGATGCTTCTTTGAAAAACTCATAATTGAGCTAAGATAAAGGAGAAGAGGAAGCATTAACCAGGAAAAAAGGATGGGGAGAAGGAGCCTAGCATATGCCAAGATCTTGTGGAGAGAAACAATGTAGAGTTTGAGGAAACAAAGACCAATACAGTGTGTGGCAGGGAGCCTGGTACAACATGAGGCTGGAAAACATGGCAACATTGGGATTTCTTTCGTTATCTCAAGAGCAATGGGAAGCCATTGAAATATTTTCAGTATGGGAATTGTGATGGATATATGTTTTGCAAGATCTGTCCGGCTGCCATAGGAGGCAAGAGTAGGCTGTGAATGCCCTTAAAAGGCCATTGCAGTAGTCCACGTAGGAGGTGTTGGTAGCTTGGATGAAGGAGGGTAGGAATAGACAGAAGTGGATGAAACTGCACAATTATGTAAGGGGAACAATGTTAAGGTTGATGCTGGGTTGGATAATGGATGAGAGACAGGGATGCCTGCTAAGTTTCTGGCTTGCCCAACAAGATTGATGGAGGTACCATGCACTGAGCAAGAGAACTCTGGACAAGGAGCCTCTTTGGAGGGTAGTTTTATTTTCATTCATTCAATTCAATATTTAATAGGCTCTTACCAAGTGCCAGGCACTGTTCTAGGATCTGAGGATTTATTGATAATCAGGTCAAAATCCCTGCCTTCATGAAGCTTACATTTTCATTGGGAGGAATAGACAATTTTTTAAGAAAATAATTTCACATAGTAGTAAGCGCTGTGAATTAAATAAGACTACAGGTCTCTAAGGGATGGGTAAGACAGCTTTAGTTTGGGCCATCAGGACAGGCACCTCTAAGGAGATGACGTTTTAGCTGAGACCTGACTGATGAGGAAGGTGCCCATGCAGAGATCTGGGGCAGAGATTGTTTTCCAATTAGAAAGAACAGGGGCCGGGCGCAGTGGCTCATGCCTGTAATTCCAGCAGTTTGGGAGGCCAAGGCAGGTGGATCACTTGAGGTCAGGAGTTCAACATCAGCCTGGCCAACACAGTGAAACCCTGTCTCTACTAAAATTACAAAAGTTAGCTGGACATGGTGGCACACGCCTATAGTCCCAGCTACTTGGGAGGCTGAGGCATGAGAATTGCCTGAATCCGGGAGGCGGAGGTTGCAGTGAGCTGAGATCGCGCCACTGCACTCCAGCCTGGGCGACAGAGTGAGACTCCATCTCAAAAAAAAAAAAAAAAGAAGGAACAGCAAGTGCAAGTGTTTTTCCCTAGGGCAAGAACCCAGAGAGATTAAAAGTGTGGCTGGAGCCTGGAGAGGGAAGGGGAGAGGGCAGGAAATGAGATTAGAAAGGGAGGCCGAGTAAGGATCTTAGATGTTATTCTTTTTTTTTTTTTTAATTTAATTTTATATTCACTTTTTTTTTTTTTTGAGACAGGGTCTTGCTCTGTTGCCCAGGCTGGAGTATAGTGGTGCGATCTTGGCTCACTGCAACCTCTGCCTTCCAGGCTCAAGCAGTTCTCATGCCTCAGCCTCCCAAATAGCTGAGACTATAGCCACCTGTGGCCACATCTGACTAATTTTTGTATTTTTAGTAGAGATGTGGTTTTGCCATGTTGGCCAGGCTGGTCTTGAACTCCTGGCCTCAAGTGATCCACCTGCATCGGCCTCCCAAAGTGCTGGGATTACAGGTTACAACCACCACATCTGGCCCATTTTTTGCTTTTTGAGACAAGGTCTTGCTGTGTTGCCCAGGCCAGAGTGCATTGGTGCAATCACGGCTCATTGTAGCCCCAACCTTCTGGGCTTAGGCAATCCTCCCACCTCAGCCTCCTGAGTAGCTGGGACCACAGATATGTGCCACCATGCCTGGCTAATTTTTAAAAAAAATTTTTTGTAGAGTTGGGGATCTCGCTGTGTTGCCAGGCTGTTCTCAAACTCCTGGGTTCAAGCAGTCCTCCCTTCTTGGCCTCCCAAAGTGGTAGGATGATTACAGGCTTGAGCCACTGTGCCCAGCCTGAATTTTATTTTAGATTCAGAGCGTTTATGTCCAAGTTTGTTACATTGGTATATTGTGTAATGCTGGGGTTTGGGCTTCTATTGAACCCATCACCCAAATAGTGAACATTGTACCCAATAGGTAGGTTTTCAACTCTTGCACCCCTCCCTCTTCTCCCCCTTTTGTAGTTGCTGGTGTCTGTTTCCATCTTTATGTTGTGTGTACCTCTTGTTTAGCTCCCACTTATAAATGAGAATATGCAGTATTTGACTTTATGTTTCTGTGTTAATTCAATTAGAATAATGGCCTCCAGCTGCATCCATGTTGTTGCAGTGGACATGATTTCATTCTTTCTTATGGCTGCGCAGTATTCTATGGTGTGTATATGTACTACATTTTCTTTATCTAATCCACTATTGATGGGCACCTAGGCTGATTCCATGAGTTTGCTAATGTGAATAGTGCTGGAATAAACCTATGAGTGCAGGTCTTTTTCATAGAATGATTTCCTTTGGGTAGATACTCAGTAGTGAGATTGCTGGGTTGAATGGTAGTTCTAATTTTAGTTGTTTGAGAAATTTTCATATTGCTTTCCAAAGGGGTTGCGTTTCCTTTTCTCTGCATCCTTGCCAACATCTGTTATTTTTTGACTTTTTGGTAATAGTCATTCTGACTGGTGTGAGATGATATCTCATTATGGTTTTGATTTGCATCTCTCTGGTGATTAGCAATGTTGAGCATTCTTTCATGTTTGTTGGCTGCTTTGTCTTCTTTTAAGAAGTGTCTGTTCATGTCCTTTGCCCCCTTTTTAATGGAGTTGTTTTTTTCTTGTTAAGTTCCTTATAGATTCTGGATATTAGTCCGTTGTCAGATATGTAGTTTGCAAATATTTTCTCCCATTCTGTAAGATGTCCGTTTACTCTGTTGATAGTTTCTTTTGCTGTGCAAAAGTCCCAATTGTCAATTTGTTTTTGTTACATTTGTTTTTGAGTACTTAGTCATAAATTCCTTGCCTTAGCCAATGTCCAGAAGAGTTTTTTCTAGGGTTTCTTCTAGGATTTTTGTACTTTGAGGTCTTACATTGAAGTCTTTAATCCATCTTGAGTTAATTTTTGTATATAGTGAGAGATAGGGGTCCAATTTCATTCTTCTACATATGGCCAGCCAGTTTTCCCAGCACCATTTATTGAATAGGGTGTCCTTTTTCCATTGTTCATTTTTTTTGGTCATCTTTGTTAAAGATCAGATAGCTGTAGGTGTATGGCTTTATTTCTGAGTTCTCTTTTCTGTTCCATTAGTCTGTCTGTTTGTTTACCAGTACCATGATGTTGTGGTTGCTGTAACTTTATAGTAATAGGTTGAAGTCAAGTAATGTAATGCCTCCAGCTTTGTTCTTTTTTTTTTCCTTTTTTTTTTTGCTTAGGATTGCTTTGGGCCCTTTTTTTTTTTTTGCTTCCTTATGAATTTTAGAACTGCTTTTTCTAATTCTGTGAAAAATGACATTGGTAATTGGATAGGAATTGCATTGAATCTGTAAGTTACTTTAGACAGTATGGCAATTTTAACAATATCGATTCTTCCGATCCATGGGCGTGGAATGCTTTTCCATTTGTTTATGTCATCTATAATTTCTTTCAGCAGTGTTTTGTAGTTCATGGGGAGATCTTTCACCTCCTTGGTTAGCTGTGTTCCTAGGTACTTTATTTTTGGGGGGCCATTGTAACAGGACTGTATCCTTGATTTGGTTGTTAGCTTGAATTATTGGTTTGTAGAAATGCTACTGATTTTTGTACGTTAATTTTTGTATCCTGAAACTTTACTAACGTCATTTATCAGGTCTTTTGGAGGGATTGTTAGGGTTTTTTTAGGTTTAGAATCATATTGTGAGTGAACAGAGATAATTTGACTTCCTCTTTTTCTATTTAGATGCCTTTTGTTTCTTTTTCTTGCCCGATTGCTCTGGGTAGGACTTCAGTACTATGTTGAATAGAGGTGGTGAGAGTGGGCATCCTTGTCTTGTTCTTAGGGGGGATGCTTTCACCTTTGCCCATTCAGTATGATATTGGCTGTGGGTTTGTCATAGATGGCTCTTATTATTTTGAGAGGTATGTTCCTTCATTGCCTAGTTTGTTGAGGATTTTTATCATGAAGGGATATTGGACTTTATCAAATGCTTTTTCTACATGTATTGAGATGATCATATGGTTTTTGTTTTTAATTCTGTTTATGTGCTAAAACTATTCCCCAAAATCAAAGAGAAAGGATTTCTCCTTAACACATTCTACGAAACCAGTATCATCCTGATACCAAAATCTGGCAAGGACACAACAACAAAAAAAGAAAACTGTAGACCAATATTCCTGATGAAGGTAGACACAAAAATCCTCAACAAAATACTATCAGACTGAATCCAGCAGCACATCAAAAAGATAATTCATTATAATCAAGTGGGGTTTATTCTCTTGGATGTTATTCTGATGTCACTGGGAAACCTCTGGAATATCAGAAGCAACAAAGCAAATAGGATATGATTCACAGGGCAAATCAAGTCACTGTGGCTCCTCAGTGGAGAACTGCTGTACACAGGGCTGAGTAGAGCAGTGAGGCCTATTGGCCTTTTGAGGATTTAGGCTCAAAAACAGATCGCAGAATCAGTTACGTTAAACCTGGGAACCCCATGTCTTTTATTTTACAGGTTTCTTTCCGGTGTTTTCAGCAATTGTAAAACCAGTTTTACAGAGATCACAAATTTTGTTCATATATATAGAAAAAGGAAAAAAAAAGAACAATTTCTCTTTGGAATTATTTGTATTGTACTAAGTGATACTTGTTTAAAAAGGAAAACAAGTGGAAGATTTGTGGTTTTATCCTTCATATTGATTTGAAGTATGTTTATTGGTTGAGACTAACAGCCCTAGGCCAGTTTGAAGCAATAAGCTCTGCAATCACAGAAAATGATATCTAAGTTTAGAAAGCAATGTTTTGAATGTTACATTGATAGAATCAAAGATAATAAGTGAAGGCAACAATTACAAGAAATAATCAGGAAAGTTTGGAACTGTATTTGATTTTACTGGTTTGCCTTGTTTTGTTTTTAATTTAATTTAATTTTTTTTTTAAATAAATAGATATGGGGTCTCGCCGTGTTGACCAGGCTGGTCAAACTCCTGGCCTAAAGTGATCCTCCCGTCTCGGCCTCCCAAAGTGCTAGGATTACAGGCATGAGCCACTGCACCTGGACCATTTTTATTTTTATTTTTTGAGACAGTCTCTCTCCGTTTCCTGGCTGGAGTGCAGTGATGCAATCATGGCTTACTGCAATCTCTGCCTCCCCAGCTCGAGCAATTCTTGTGCCTTGGCCACCCAAGTATCCCAAATTGCTAGGATTACAGGCATGAGCCAGTGTGTCCAGCTAGCTGCCTTCTTTTAAAAAGTAAAATTGTTCTTGACTTCTAGGACAGTGATACATAGTCATTGTGGAAAACAGCAAATACTGACCAAACTAAAAAAGAAGGTAAATATCTCACATGTACTGTTCAGGGACATCCACTGTTAAATTTTTGAGGTATTTAGGTATATATGTGTTAGTATATTTGGTTATTTATTTATCATAGTGTAGAAAGGTTTTATAATCTATTTTTAGCACTGTTAACATATTTTCACATCATGAAATATTCATAATCTTATTTTTATGGCGACGTGCAATCTATAGTTACACCACAGTTTTTTAAAACCAGATGCTTATTGTTAAAATCTAATTTTTACTCAAATTTCTATTGTTATTTCTTAGTCTGTTTTGAAGAAATACTGTAAAGAAATCCATCTGTAACTACATTTTTGTTTATATTATTTTGTGTTTGTGAGTACTCCCCAAGTATTATTGTGTAGTCAAAGAAGTCAAAGAATGCTAAATTTTAAGGCTTCTGCTATGTTTTGCCGGCCCCCCAGAAAGATTGTACTCCCAATAGCAGTCTATGAGGTTGCCAGTTTCTCTACATCCTTGCCAGCTCTGGTATCATTGTGCTTTTAAAAATTAATTTTTGAAATTTGGTACGTGAAAAATTAATATCTCAGTGCTTTCATTTTATAATTATTTGATCATTAGTAAGGAAGAATACGTTTGCTGTTTGTGATTTGTGTGTACATTATATGAATTGCTTATTCATATCCTTTTTCTACTTTTTAATTAGGTTTATATTTTTCTTACTGTTTTTAAAGAAATACTTATGCAGCAATGATAATTCATTGTCAGTCATAAAAGTTGTATTTTTTCCAAGTTCTGCATTTTTCTTTTAATTTTTAAAATGTCTACGTATTTTGTTTATATAGCCAGGTCTGTTTGTCTATATCATATCTTCCCCACATAGATGTTGCATAAATTCTCTCATATTTCTCCTTCTGCTTTTTGGTTATGTTTTTTGCATTTAAATGTTTGGCTTATTTATTTACATATCTACACATAGGCATCTTTTTTTTTTTTTTTTTTTTGTCATTTAGAAAGAAAGTCGTGCTGTATCCCTACTGACTTCTCCAGCTGCTGGTATAAAAACAGTTGATCCTCTGCCTTTGCGGGAAGATTCTGAAGACAATATCCACAAATTTGCTGAGGCAACTCTTCCAGTTTCAAAAATTCCAAAATACCCAACAAATCCCCCTGGACAGTTGCCTTCTCCACCACATGTTCCATCCTACTGGCATCCCTCTCGACGAATTCAGGGCTCTCTTAGAGATCCAGAGTTTCAGCACAATGGTAATTATTTTGGTTTTAATTTTTTGTCTTTTAAAATAAAGTGTTATGCTGATAGGTACAAAGTCTAAGAATGCATTTTATGTTAATAAATCAGTTATTTAGTATTTTTGGTTAATGTATTAATAAAATTTCTTTAAATAGGAAAACTCCCTCCTTGGGACCAATTGTGCTGCACCTAAGTTCACTTTTTGCTGTTATATATGTGTGAGATATCTCTCAAGTTCTTATTCATACACATACAGGGAATCCACTAGATAGATGACAGTAGCACCTCTTCTCTGGATGTGACAACCAAAAATGTCTCCAGACATTGCCAAATGTTGCCTGGGTGTAGAATTCACAGTCAGAAATGACTTTCCTTTAGTGTTAGTAGGCATTGCTCAGCTCTTTTCTGGCTTCCATCGTTAATGTTAAGAAGTCAGATGCTCCTTTTATTCTGGATCTTCTATGTGTGGTGTTTTCTTTCTGGCAGCTTTTGGGATCTTCTCTTCATATCTAATGTTCTGAAATTTTATGATGTGCCTCTGAGAGAGTATTATTTTTTTTATTCATTTTGCTGGTACTCCATAGACCTTTCAATCTGGAAAATTCTCACTTCTGGAACATTTTCTTGAATTATTCAGTCAAAAATTTCCTCTCCTGGCCAGGCACAGTGGCTCATGTTTGTAATCCCAGCCACTTTGGGAGGCCAAGGCAGGCAGATCATTTGAGGCCAGGAATTTGAGACCAGCCTGGGTCACATGATGAAACCCTGTCTCTGTTACAAAAAAATTAGCTGGGTGTGTTAGTGCACACCTGTAATTCCAGCTACTTGGGAGGCTGAGGCATGAGAATTGCTTAAGTCTGGGAGGCCAAAAAAAAAAAATTTCTCTCCTTTCTCTATTTCCTCTTTCTAGGGCTCCTATTCAGATGTTGGACATGATTTTATTTTTTATCTTACCTCTCCTGTTTTCCATCTCTGTCTTTAAATTTGAAAGGGTTACTAATTTTTATCTTCTATCTTTTGTGTTTTTTAAAATTTTTATTTCAATAGCTTTTGGGGTACAGGTAGTTTTGGTTACATGGATGTATTCTATAGTGGTGAATTCTGGATTTTAATGCACCTGTTACCCAAGCAGTGTACACTGTACCCAACATGTAGACTTTTATCCCTTCCCCCACCCCAAGTCCCCACAGTCTATCGTATCACTCTGTATGTCTTTGTGTCCTCATAGCTTAGCTCCCACTGGTAAGTGAGAACATGCAGTATTTGATTTTTCATACCTGAGTTACTCAATTTAGAATAATGACCTCCACCTCCATCTTAGTTGCTGCAAAAGACATTATTTCATTCCTTTTAATGGAGGATTAGTATTCCGTGGTGTTCCTGTTTCTCTAGTTCCTTGAGGTGTGATAGTAGGTTGTCAGTTTGTGCTCTTTCAGACTTTTTAAGGTAGGCATTTAATGCTATAAACTTTTAGCATTGCTTTTGCTGTATCCCAGAGGTTTTGATAACTTGTGTCACTGTTACTCATTTCAAAGAATTTTTGAATTTCCATCTTGATTTCATTGTTAACCCTAAAATCATTCAAGAGCAGATTATTTAATTTCTATGTATTTGTATAGTTTTGAGGATTCCTTTTGGAGTTGATTTCTAGTTTTATTCCCCTGTGGTCTGAGAAGATAATTGGTATGATTTTCTTAAATTTATTGAGACTTGTCTGTGGCTTGTCATGTGGTCTATTTTGGAAAATGTTCCATGTGAAATGATGAGAAGAATGTATATTCTACAATTGTTGGGTAGAATGTTTTGTAAATATCTGTTAAGTCCATTTGTTCTAGAGTATTGTTTAAGTCCATTGTTTCTTCGTTGACTTTCTGTCTTAACGATCTGTCTAGTGCTGTCAGTGGAGTATTGAAGTCACTCGCTATTATTATGTCGCTGTCTACTTCATTTCTCAGGTCTAGTAGTAATTGTTTTATAAATGTGGGAACTCCAGTGTTAGGTGCATATAAATGTAGGACTGACTGTAATACCTTCTTGTTGGACTGACCTTTTTATCGTTATATGATGACCTTTGTCTTTTTTTAAATAGTTGTTGCTTTAAAGTCTGTTTTGCCTGATATAAGACTCCTGCTTGCTTTTGGTTTCCATTTGCATGGAATATCTTTTCCTACCCCTTTACCTTGAGCTTATATGAATCTTTGTGCATTAGATATTTGGTTTGTGGTTTTTAATCCATTCTGCCATTCCATATCTTTTAAATGGAGCATTTAGGCCATTTACGTTCAATGTTAATATTGAGACGTGAGGTACTGTTCTATTCACTGTGTTAGTTGTTACTTAGATACTTTGTTTTTTCCGTTGTGTTGTTTTATAGGCCCTGTGAGTTTTAAGCTTTCAGAGGTTCTGTTTTGTTGCATATCAAGCTTTTGTTTCAAAATTTAGAACTCCTACTTAGCATTTCTTGTAGTGCTGGTCTGGTAGTGACAAATTCCTCAGCATTTGTTTGTCTGAAAAAGACTTTATTTCTCCTTCATTTATGAAACTTAGTTTTGCTAAACTAACAAAATTCTTGGCTGATAGGTGTTCTGTTTAAGGAGGCTAAAGATAGGACCCCAATGCCTTCTGCCTTGTAAGGTTTCTGCTGGGAAGTCTGTTGTTAGTCTAGTTGTTTTTCTTTTGTAAGTTACCTGATGCTTTTTGCCTCACAACTGTTAGAATTCTTTCCTTCATGTTGACTTTAGATAACCTGATGACTATGTGCCTTGGTGATGATCTTTTTGCAATGAAGTTCCTAAGAGTTCATTGAGCTTCTTGTATTTGGATATTTAAATCTCTAGCAAGGCCAGGGAAGTTTTCCTCAATTATTCCCTCAAAGGAATTTTCCAAACTTTTAGCCTTTTCTTCTCCCTCAGTATCACCATTTATTCTTACATTTGGTTGTTTACATAATCCTATATTTCTTGGAGACTTTGTTCATTTCATTTGATTCTTTTTTCTTTATTTTTGTTTGATTGGGTTAATTCGAAAGCCTTGTCTTTGAGCTCTGAAATTCTTTTTTCTGCTTTTTCCTCCCTCTTGGACCTGGCATGCAGCTATCTTCTACTTGTTCTAGTCTATTTTTGAAACTTTCCACTACGTTTTGTATTTCTCTAAGTGTGTTTTTTATTTCCAGATGTTCTGATTGCATTTTCTTTATGATATCTATCTCTCTGGGAAATTTTTCATTCATATCCTGAATTTTTTTTTAATTTCTTTATGTTGGTTTTCACCTTTCTCTGGTAGCTCCTTGAGTAGCTTAATCATCAACCTTCTGAATTTGTTATCTGGTATTTCAAAGATTTCATCTTGGTTTGGATCAGTTACTGGAGAGTGAGTGTGATCTTTTGAGGGTGTTATAGAACCTTGTTTTGTCATATTACTAGAATTACTTTCTGGTTCCTTCTTTTTTGGGTAGACTATTCTAATTGTTCTCAAATTTATTTTTGATTTGACTATGTGTGTTTTTTTTAAAATTTTTTTCCCCTCTTAAGAATGTGACCTTAATGATTATAATTTGTTATAGTTTAATTTGGTTCTTGGTGCTTTTAGGGGTGAAGAGTCTTTATAAGTTCTTTGGTTATAGAGAGTCTTTGTATGATGGCTTCCTCAGTTGCTGGTTGTAGTAGCTGTGTACTCAGTGTGTCGGCAAGTTCGCTGTCTCCTGTGGGGTTGGAATGGCAGAGGTCTCTTGAAGCTTATCTCATTCCCCTGTGGTGTGTACTTTTTCATTTATTTAATTTTTCTCCAGTATTTTGTTTACTGAGTTGATAGTTCAGGCTTCAGGCCATTAGGGGAGGTATCCCTGGGTAGGAACTTACTGTGGCTAAGGTAGGTGGGTGAATGCAATACCCACTGGTGGGCACAGGTCCCAGCCTTGATGAAGGTGGCTGGGGGAGCTCTCAGTTAAATGCAGTGAGGTCTTATCAGGGTGAAGGGTGAGAATGCTATCCAAGTAGATAGGAATTGTGACTCTGCCTCTCATGCAAGCCTGCATCTGGGGAGTGCTCCTCCTGTGGGGAAGCAGTCACCCTAAAGTGTTCCAGGAAGGCTGTCTATAGGCACACTCATACCGAGTCCTGTGGGAGAAGTCCCAGCTGTGTCTGCAGTGGTGGACAAGGGGAAATAAGACCCCTTCTCCAAGACCCTTCATGAGCACTAAGCTTGCCTGACTGTTGGGGTGATGGGGTAGACTCCCTGCTGAGCCTAGCACTGCAATTGTGTCTCTGCTGAAAGAAACTTCCCACCAGTGGAAAGATCTGGGACTCCTGAGATTCCTTGGTTGTAGATAGGCTTAGGGTGCTGGCTTTCTTGCGTGTTGGTTATGATAGTTGTGAACTTGTCACGTAGACAGATTCAGGACCACTGGTCAGCTAGGGTGTTGCAGGCAGTGGTGATAGCTGAGGTCAGGCACTGGTTTTCTGGGCACAGCGTTATTCTACCTAGAGATGATATAATGGACTGTGTCAGTTGGCCTCTAATCAGGAGGTGCTGCTTGCAAAAGAGCACCAGCTGCAGTAGTAGCAGTGGTAATTGAGCTTTCCCTGTGTTGCCCAGGGGAGGTATTCTGGCTTCTCACACCTGGGCAGGGTTATAAAACTCCCAAAAGTTTATGTCGTTTTTGTTAAGCTGTGGAGGGGCACAGCCAGGCAGGGGCTGGGTTAGGTGGGTCTGCTCTTTGACTCTCCACATGCCGTCTGTTAGTTTTTTAAAAAGATTTTTGCTCTTTTTAATTTCTAAGAATTTTTGAACATTGCATATTGCTTTTATACAGCATCCCATTCTTATTTCATGAATGGAATGTTTTATCTCTTTGAAGAGGAAAATGATACATATAATGCCTCTGTTTTGAATACATTACCCCTGCCCACAGTTGAACCTGGTATCCTTCAGTCAAAGTATCTCTGGTAAACTTTTAGAGACGAAACTTCCATGCCTCTTTGGGAAAGAGGGAACTACCCAGCTGTGCAAATTTAAAGGAGGACCTGGCATATTAACTATTTTTGTAAAAACATATTTAGGCAGCTTCCTGGTTCAGTCTTCCCTTCACTCCAACTTTCAGTGGTACTCAGTATGCCCAAACCCAGAGCCATCAGGGGAACAAGTTGGTTGTTTCTTGGTTTCACTCTTCTGCTGGCTTAAACTTCCACTTACTTGGGTATAGTTATACACTCACTGCTCTTCCATTTGCTTTCCATGTTCCAAAAAGTTTCTTGCTGTCTTATTTGCTCCCATTCTCTTTGTCCTATGAGTTTGTTCTTCTTGTAAATGCGTGTATTTAATTTACCATCTCTAATCAGAAGCCTACTACATTTCTTTAAAGTTAGAATAGATCAATATTATCATTGGAAAGAATATTAGGAAGTTATCCATAGTTTGTTTACATGCTTGCTAAGTGCATTATAAATTATGAATGGCCCTTTTATGGTAATTTCTATTAAGATATAAAATTAATTAATAAAATCTTTTTCATTTCTTAAACCTTTACTCACATGTAGGTTTGATAATTAATAAAATTTCTGACAGCCTACTTTTACTAACAGTTTAGTATATAATTGAGATAAGCTGTTCAGTGGCTTTTGAAGGATAATTTATTCTGCCTTTTTTTTTTTAAGTGGGAAAAGCAAGGATGAACAATTTGCAGTTACCTCAACATGAAGCCTTTAATGATGAAGGTATTTCAGTAGTCACATAACATAAAAGTTTGAGTTCTAGTCTATGAGAGTATAATGGCTTTACATTTGATTAGCACTTTATAGCTTATGAAGTACTTCCACAGATTTTTCATTAGATCCTTGAAACCCTGTGAGGGGGAGTGAAATTACCCCCATTTACAAATGAGTAAGCTGGGAGTAAAGTGGTAAAAAACTGTTCTAGGGCAAACATACAATAAGAGATTGTGCCTGACATCACAGCTGAGGTCAGTGTTCTTTTTCTTTTTCCACCTTGTCTAGCTGGGGGCTCAGGAATTTGGCCTAGTGTTACATCCATCTTTTAAAAAAATGCCTATATATTTTTGTCAATTTTCCATGGTCAAACAAATACATGATTAGAGAAAATTGACATTATTCTTTTTTGCTGTTTCGTTTTGTTTTGTTTTTGAGACGGAGTCTCGCTCTGTCGCCAGGCTGGAGTGCAGTGGCATGATCTCGGCTCACTGCAGCCTCTGCCTCCCGGGTTCAAGCGATTCTCCTGCCTCAGCCTCCCAAATAGCTGGGATTACAGGCATCCGCTACCACACCCGGCTAATTTTTGTATTTTTAGTAGAGATGGGGTTTCACCATGTTGGCCAGGATGGTCTCAAACTCCTGACCTTGTGATCCGCCCACCTTGGCCTCCCAAAGTGCTGGGATTACAGGCGTGAGCCACCATGCCCAGCCTTTTGTAGTTTTTATTCTGACATTTATTTGCTTATAATAGTGGCAGGAGACTTGAATTCAATATGAATAATTGAATCACTATTTTAATTCATCCTAAGAAGTATGGAATTACTGAACTTACAAAGTTTGAATTGGAAGTAAATTTAAATTTCATACTCTGTATCATACATTAAAGACTTTCTTTCCGTTTAGCAGGTTTAGGACTTTTTGTTATAATTCATTGAGCTAGAAATCAAGTTGTATGTTTTGAAATGCAAATGTCTGACAACTTTGAATCCAGTCCTTTTTTCTTTCTAATGGAAGAATAGTGTCTATAAATAACCTTATAAAAGATTTGCTTACTCAGAATGAGGAATTTCAGTATTAAGGAAGGGTAGCATATTAAAATCAAAAATTATTTCTACATTTAGTGAGATTATTTTAGAAATGTGATGTAAATGCCATGTTAAGGTATGGCATTTTGTTTTTAAAAAGTTTAGAAAAGCTTTTTGCTCAGAATAGCTGTGCTTTTTAAAGTAGGATAAAACAGTATTATGATGAATTATTTTCAAGTAATACTGAAATCATAGGCCGTGTGCTCTGTTAATGACGGGATTTCAAGAAGGAAAAAAATTTAACGATAAATGTTAAGATTAAAAGGTTTGATTTCTATATATGATAAACCTGGAAAACTACTGTGAGGTATCATGAGAGTGTTAGTATCTTACATTTCAGTAGATTACTTTTTTTCCTGACTAACTTGACATTGATAACACAGTTTGATGCTTTTAATTTTCTGTTATATAAAACACAATGTTTATTTAATAGATATTTTTGGCAATGAATATAATCTCGGGATTTTTTCATTGCAGATGAGGACAGATTGTCTGAGATTTCTGCTCGCTCTGCAGCTTCTAGTCTCCGGGCTTTTCAAACTCTGGCACGAGCTAAGAAAAGGAAGGAGAATTTCTGGGGTAAAACATAAACCTAGCTGAGTTGCCTTTATCTAAGGAAACATTGGCATAATTTTTCTTTATTGCTTACTGTGTTAAAATTTTTTGAGTGAAGTTTTTCCTAACGTTTTCTACTTTGAAATATTTAATTTCCAATAGAACAGTTTACTTGGAAATTGTTAACATAGGCTTATACAAATTTAACTTTTAAAGAATTCTTTTTACATCTATCCCAGAGTACAAAGACCTAGATTATTGAATTCTTCACATGTAACTTTCGTAATAGGTGTCATGGATAGATTTTCACCTATCCAGAGAGTATTCTAAAAAAATAAACAAAGTGAAGTAAAAGTTAAGATCCCAGTGTGAAGTATATATTCCCCTAAGATTTGATATATGTATCTTTATAATTGATGATGTTGTAAAATGAATTTGTTGTTCCTTTAACCTTTGCTGTAGTGTTTCTTTTTATTTTAGTTCCTTCTATACATGTTTGCAGTGTTAAGATAATTGTACTTTGAAAACACCAGCTGTATATATTTTTCTTATTTATGTAACAAAGTTTGCTGAAAGATATGTATATTTTTGATCTTTGAGTGTATTCTATTTGTGTAAGGACTTTGGCTTACATTTGAATAATGTCTAGATTTTGAAAAATTACCTGTATAATGGAGAATTAAAACTTTGTAGACATTTTGAAATAAAAATGGATCAAGTGCGTTTGGCTTCTCCAGAAAGTTATTACATGGAACAAATAATTATCTTGTAGAAGAATTCTACTCCTAACAGGTTAATGAACAGTTATACTTGTTTTGCAGCTGTCAGAATGGAATGGAGCCAAGTCTGTGATATTTTCGCACAAATGTGGGACAAAGAATTTCCAAGGCAGACTCATTTACAGAAATTTAACACAAAACTTTTTAAATATATTTCTTCACTCATGGGACATGTTCTGTTGTCATACTGTTTATCTTGCAAATCATGATAAATTTAAGTTTCTAAAAAATATGGATTTTACAACTATATTACATAAAATCTTTACAGTAATACATAGAAAGTACTGAAGCTAAAATATACAGAATATTCATGCTTATTGGTTAGAAAACAAGTGAACAATCTGTTCTAAAGTGATAATTGGTCAAAAGTGCATTTGCAAATCGTTGGTTCACAATAAGTTTGTTAAAGATCTTACATTATCATGAAGTTTTAAAGAACTGTAGGCATACAAATATTTGCCTATCTTCCACTGACCTTTAAACTAGTTTGTTCATTAAAGGCTACTAAGGCATTAAATATGAAAATAAAAGTTTGAAATTACAGTATAAGTGGACTTTAGAACACAAATTGGCTTCTATACATATCTGAACTGAGGCATGTTAATTGTAAAATAGGTTTGGAACTTACCTCTCTAGATACATATTTTCCTCTTCCTCAAAGGTTGGTTAGTCTAGTTGGTTAGGACAGAGTTTTCAATGGCTGACCACTGATGTATGGTAAAGAAGGGAATTAGAGCTAGCTTGCAGGGAATTTTGCATAACTCAGTCTATTTTATCTAAGCTGTAGATGTAAAATCTGGGTACACCCACTGGAGTGAATCAAACCACATGAACTTGATCTATCAGGTGTTAGAAGGATTAGGATATAGTTCTCATGGGGACAAGGTCATGAACCCAGTCTCTATGCAACAATTTAGCTCTGCAGTTATTGACTGCTTCTGTTAAAAACCCTATTCAGTGACTCAGGGGAGAGAATAGTGTTGAGGGCCCAGTAGTGTTTTAATTGCTCATACTAAGGGTAACTCAGAAGACATGCATTTGGGTTGGTGAGTAGTCTTAGTTACATGACAACTGCCCCTTGAGATTTGCTAGTATTCAGGAGCTGGGATTGCTAATTCAAATTTTTATTAGTTTTATTAAGGCATACTTTAAACTGCAGTTGTTAAAAAAATTAGAGCTCAGTGAGTTTGAATAGATGTACACATCTGTGAAACTAACACCACAATCATGATACATTATGTTTCCATCACCCCAAAAGTTTCTTCATATTCTTTTGCAGTCAGTCTGTCCTTCCACCCCTGGTCCCCAAGGCAACCAATAATCTGCATTCTGTTGGTATAAATTAGTTTACAGGAATTTTATATAAATGGAGCCATCCTTTATGCCTGGCTTTTACTTAGCATAATATTTTTGAGAGTCATCCATGTTTTGGTGCGCATGTTGCCTCTTTATTCACTTGCTGGTGGACTTTGGGGTTGTTTTCAGTTCGGGATTATAATGAATAAAACTGCTATCAGTATTGGTGTGCAAGTCTTTGTGTAGATATATGCTTTCATTTCTCTGCAGAATATCCAGGTAATTCAATTTTTATTCATCTTGAATATAACTTCTGCTTTGAGTATACAGTATATACTCAAATAAATATTATAAACTGGTAGCTTGATCTTTTCGTCTAAATTAATATCTCACAAGCCACACTGGGGAGCCAACCGCAGAACTGCAACGAGTGGTTTTTCTAAAATGCATACACCTACCTGCTTTTTTCTCTGCCCCTCCCCCATCTTCACCCCAGGTGTTGAGATTCTCAGTGTATCCGTGTTTGAGAGCCCTTATAAAAATGCACCAAAACACATACATGGGAGGTTTCGCATGTTAATTTCTGGTCTCATCTCTGGATCCCCATGGAATTCTGAACTCAAAATTAAACCTTGAAGGATAGTTGTGACGATTAAGGATAAATAACATGATAAATATGCTTGGTACATAGGAGGAAATGTTACCATGAGATTTAAGCATAAATATCATTTTACAGATGGGAAGACCGACTTAGATGAAATAACTGGCCCAAGATCTGAAGGCTGGTGAATTAAATCTAGGCCTCCTTACTCGAAATCCACCCACACTAACTCCTTTGAAGTGTGTATGCTAAAATTGCAAGTCCCACTGTGATTCAGTTCTCTCTCTGGTTGATTCATTTGGGAGTTAATTTTCTACTTTGCCTTCTTGGAAGATAAATGACTACCTTTTCTAGTCGGGAAAAAGAATATGTGAGCATTGAATTATTGTACAAATGGATTCAACCAGAATGAAAGCAAATTAATATTCAAAACAAGCTTGTCCTTAAGTAGAGAAGTGTTGAAGTTGGCTACTTAGGGAGCTCAAGGATGGATTATATATTTTTGTTTTAATTGTGCATGCACATATCAGACATCCAGAAAATATCCTGACTTCTGGAAGTTTACCAAAGGAACAAATAATGTAAAATGGTAGATGATCCCAGAATTATTTCTATTTGGTTTTGGAATATGTTTTTGGTACTTTTACATCTGAAAGTGGTAGTCATGTTAGTGTGCTCAGGGCCCAGTCTGTCAAACCACCATTACTCAGTTTCCCAAGGTGATTCTGCTGATAGAGATTACTCCAGGCCAAACAACAGTCTATGTCATTGGACTAGCTAGGGTTGTGCACCAATGGGTCTGGTCACATGGGGTCTCTGAGAAGCCAACTTGCCCCATGAGCTTGACTCATGGACTAAAAGCAGGCTACTGATCTCTTCAGCTCCGTGCTGATGAACTTTCTTGCTAATGTTGACTCTGCAATCTAACCATACGTGTCTTTCTCCCATGGCAAGTGGAGGCACAGAAAGACCCAGCCCTTTGCTCTCAGGCTTAGAGCCAAGCTTCTTTAAATCATATGTCATGTTTCATTCCCACCCTGAGGCTCTTATACAGGAGGCAGCTCCCCATCCTGTGACTCCTGCCATGTGGCAGGTAAGAGCAAAGGATGAGTCATCTTAAAGATGGCATCCATTTCTCTTCTACGAAGTGCTCTACCCACTAGTCTCCATCCGTAGTTTCATTCTGCCCTATATCCATATAAAGCATATCTGGAAATTGAGAAATGAGGACTTGGGGGACACTAAGCCACCTTTGGAAATCAGAACATGAGGCCAACAGGTAGAGTAATGTTTGGGGAGTTTACACCAATTCAGACCACATAATGGACAATTTAGATAATGCTGGGAAATTGTTCAGTTTCTCCCCTATACAGTCTACATGCCAGTATTATGCTGGAGCTAACTCATGGGCCAATCATTAAATAAGAATGTTGTGAGCAAGTTGTTAAAGTTATCAGTAGTTAGAAATTGGCCATGGTGGGAGTATTTACACCACTGAAATCAACAGATGCCATAAATTAGGGCTTCTCCCATTTACTGGGAGGCGGTTTACAAGCCCATCACTAGCTACTGCCTCAGTCTCTCCTAAACTTTCCATATCACTTGCCTGACAGAGAAAACAATCTACTTCAGAAAGCCAGCTCAAGATAAGCTGCTTTAATATTTATTATACCACTTACATATTCCTTGGCTTATACAAATGGTTTGGTTTAGTTTATTTTCTTGGCTGAAGTCCACCTAGAAAATAAAAACAAGCCACAAATAACAATAGACTTACAGAGGGAGACTATGCAGAGACGGCCTAGGAATCTATATGTGTAATCTTCCAGATTCTCATAGGTAGTTTGGGAACAACTGGCTTTGGGGTTATAGTAGCCTATGTTCTAGTCCTAACTCCACCTTGAGCAAGCCAATTGAACTTTGAGCTTGTATTCCTCATCTTGCAGATTAAGATCACTCACCAATTTAGTTTTCAGATTAAATGGCATAAGGTCTGTGAAGTTTTCATATATGCTATTTAAATGTTATTCACTTCAAAATGTTTAGTTTTATTATGTCGGCAAATTTTCATTAAAACAACAAGAAAAAAAGCCTTGTTTTAGAGAGGCTAAGGTTAAATCTAATAAGCAGGTGACAGGGTACCCTGAAATCGTGGCCTCTCATCACAGACCTATCAGTTGTGACCTACATTCAGCTTACCCAGAGGCAGTTTCAGGTAGGGGTGCTGAAATGATTTGTCTATTTCCGTTATGTGGTAAAGCGAAAAAAGACTGACTACAGTGTTGTGACTCAGCTACTCTAGAAGGTGGAACTAATTACCTGATAAATGCAAACTATATTAGCGTAACCATGAATTGGAGATGTTATCAGCTTTGAGTCAGGAAATGCAGAGATAAAGTACCCACGATAATTACTGATGAAAGGAAAGATAGTCAAGGTTGGTCCCTGAATGAATGCGTGCCCAATATCAAAGATTTCCTATGTTTGCTGCAAGTTTTTTTTGAATAAGGTGAATTAAATTAAACTCAGTTTTGTAATTTTAAGAAGAAAATATAAACTAACCCAAATGCCACACATTATGGGAAGATGCAGGCACTTTACACTCATAACTTCAATGATAGTCAGAGTTTGGGCATCTCAGGAAAAATTTGCCCACAGTGAGTACCTTAGCATTCAATGTTCCTGTCAAAAAACTATTCAGGTCAAAACAGTTAAGGTTCTGGGGAAACCAAAAGAAAATCGAAAATAGGTTGTATGGCAATACTAAATTTTGGTTCCACAAGGAACGAGTAATATGAAGTTTAACTTGTAATTTTGCAAAGATGAAACATCCGAAGTGCTTTACTAATTTGAAAACATATACCTGGCACTAACAAATACCCTAGCATGATCATTTAAATCAATTACCGGCCAGGTGCGGTGGCTCACGCCTGTAATTCCCAGCACTTTGGGAGGCCTAGGTGGGTGGATCACGAGATCAGGAGTTCGAGACCAGCCTGGCCAACATGGTGAAACCCCCATCTCTACTACAAATACAAAAATTAGCTGGGTGTGGTGGCGGGTGCCTGTAATCCCAGCTACTCGGGAGGCTGAGACAGGAAAGTTGTTTGAACCCGGGAGGCAGAGGTTGCAGTGAGCTGAGATAGCACCATTGCACTCCAGCCTGGGCGACAGGGCAAGACTCCATCTCAAAAATAAATAAGTAAGTAAATAAATAAATAAATAAATTACTATGAATCGTTGCTGCCAAGACTTTTTGTTTATTTTTTATTTTTAATTTTTTTATTATACTTTAAGTTCTAGGCTACATGTGCACAATGTGCAGGTTTGTTACATGTGTATATTTGTGCCATGTTGGTGTCCTGCACCCATTAACTCGTCATTTACATTAGGTATATCTCCTAATGCTATCCCTCCCCGCTCCCCCCACCCCACAACAGGCCCTGGTGTGTGATGTTCCCCTTCCTGTGTCCAAGTGTTCTCATTGTTCAATTCCCACCTATGAGTAAGAACGTGTGGTGTTTGGTTTTTTGTCCTTGTGATAGTTTGCTGAGAATGATGGTTTCCAGCTTCATCCATGTCCCTACAAAGGACATGAACTCATCCTTTTTTATGGCTACATAGTATTCCATGGTGTATATGTGCCACATTTTCTTAATCCAGTCTATCATTGTTGGACAGTTGGGTTGGTTCCAAGTCTTTGCTATTGTGAATAGTGCCGCTATAAACATACATGTGCATGTGTCTTTATAGCAGCATGATTTATAATCCTTTGGGTATATACACAGTAATGGGATGGCTGGGTCAAATGGTATTTCTAGTTCTAGATCCTTGAGGAATCACCACACTGTCTTCCACAATGGTTGAACTAGTTTACAGTCCCACCAACAGTGTAAAAGTGTTCCTATTTCTCCACATCCTCTCCAGCACCTGTTATTTCCTGACTTTTTAATGATTGTCGTTCTAACTGGTGTGAGATGGTATCTCACTGTGGTTTTGATTTGCATTTCTTTGATGGCCAGTGATGATGAGCATTTTTTCATGTGTCTGTTGGCTGCATAAATGTCTTCTTTTGAGAAGTGTCTGTTCATATCCTTCGCCCACTTTTTGTTGGGGTTTTTTTCTTCTTGTAAATTTGTTTGAGTTCATTGTAGATTCTGGATATTAGCCCTTTGTCAGATGAGTAGATTGCAAAAATTTTCTCCCATTCTGTAGGTTGCCTGTTCACTCTGATGGTAGTTTCTTTTGCTGTGCAGAAGCTCTTTAGTTTAATTAGATCCCATTTGTCAATTCTGGCTTTTGTTGCCATTGCTTTTGGTGTTTTAGACATGAAGTCCTTGCCTATGCCTATGTCCTGAATGGTAATGCCTAGGTTTTCTTGTAGGGTTTTTATGGTTTTGGGTCCAACATTTAAGTCTTTAGTCCATCTTGAATTAATTTTCATATAATGTATAAAGAAGGGATCCCGTTTCAGCTTTCTACATATGGCTAGCCAGTTTTCCCAGCACCATTTATTAAACAGGGAATCCTTTCCCTATTTCTTGTTTTTGTCATGTTTGTCAAAGATCAGATGGTTGTAGATGTGTGGTATTATTTCTGAGGGCTCTGTTCTGTTCCATTGGTCTATATCTCTGTTTTGGTACCAGTAACATGCTGTTTTGGTTACTGTAGACTTGTAGTATAGTTTGAAGTCAGGTAGTGTGATGCCTCCAGCTTTGTTCTTTTGCTGCCAAGACTTTAAAAATATTATGGATCAATACACTAACAACATGTCAGTTTCTTTTATCAGTCAGAATCAAAATGTGGGGACCCAAAAAATTTTATTCAGATTTATTTTAATAATTTGAAGACATATAAAAATACAGAATAGTAGAGACATACATCAACATATACAGCTCTTCAGTCACTACTTAAATAATAATAAAAATAAAACTCAGAAACAGTGAATATTTTGTATTAGAGAAGCTTCTAGAAAAATATCTGATGACCCTCCTTATTATACAGATTTAGTGGTTATTTTCATTCACTAATTAAAACTGTCTGCAACAATTCCAGACATTTTCTGCTGTGTACAACACATTAATCTTAGTATATAAGTAGAAATCTGTTTAATCTTAAAAAGTCACAGTCACAAATTACAAAATAATTTACTAGACAACTAGCTTTTTAAAAATTATTTGTTAATCCCATATAAGGAGAAGGATTAGTTTCGACTGATACTTCAGGAAATTTTAGATTTACTGTGACAAGTAATTTCCATTTCCTCTTCTCTCTGAACAACAGCAGAGCCAGCGAGTCTTACTTTTTCCCATGCTAGGTTCCCTTCGGCAAACTCTATTTCCTAGTTGCTAATAAAAAAAAAAAGTCCATCTAAGCCACAGTAAAATATATGAGTTGCGTGGCTTGTGTGTGCGCATGAGTACATGTTCCCATGTGTGTTAATGACAACACCAACACACTACCATTGTGTCATTTACCACTGTTCCTTTGTGTGCACTCAAAGATAAAAATGTAACAAATTTTTCCTTCTGCCAAACCAACCTGCTTTAAGGAATATTTGCCTTGTCTTTGCCCTTCTGGTTTTCTATGTGCATGGAGCACATTCTCTTTTGTGTCTAAGGCACTGGTTACTCTAGGACTCCAGAATTTACCTTTTCCTTGGCCTTTGTAGGGGATCTCAAATCTAGACACGGCATGACACCAACTCAGATGTGTTTAGAATATATTCACTCACCATATTTTCCTGAGTGAATGACTCAATCTCCACAAGTCTCTGTACAATAAATTTTCTTTAATAATCTTAACAAGACCACCAAGGAGCTAGAAAAAATTAACAAATGTTAATTTTTTTTTTGCGGGGGCGGAGTCTTGCTCTGTCACCCAGGCTGGAGTGCAGTGGTGCTATCTTGGCTCACTGAAACCTCTGCCTCCCGAGTTCAAGTGATTCTCTTGCCTCACAGCCACCCAAGTAGGTGGGATTACAGGGGTGTGCCATCAAGCCCAGCTAATTTTTGTATTTTTTTAGTGGAGACAGGGTTTCGTCATGTTGGCCAGGCTGAACTGCCTCAGCTGATCTCCCACCTCAGCCTCCCAAAGTGATGGGATTACAGGCTTGAGCCCCCACACCTGGCCCACAAATGTTAATTTTAAAAGAAGCTTATACTATTGGGTCAGACAAGAGCATGTTCTGCCACTTGTTAGCTCTGTGATCCTGGGCAAGTTACCAAACTCTGAGCTCCAGTTGCTGAGTAAATAGGAATAATAATTATACATTTTCTGAAATGATTTTTGTGAGAATAAATCATCTCATGCATTGAAGTACATAACACTGAGTTAGAGCTCAATAATTGCTAACTATGATTGCTCTTTTCTATCTTATTTCCTATACATAGCTTTATTTTATGGGAGGTGAGAGATCTGGAAGGGATAAAAATTATCTCAACTTGGTGTTTAAAAAAATGTAACTAACAAGTGAAACACGGGCAGTTAGGGCAGTGGCCTAAGGGCCAGGAGGGTCAACCCGAACAGGCATTACAGCACGTTCGCATCTTTTGATCTGAGCCCTGTGCCCACTCTTGAGGCATTCACTGAAGCCATGCTGAGTCTTCACCTCCTAAGGAATTGGGCGAGTGCTGGAAACAAGTGGTCGAATCCTTGGGAAACAGTGCTGGCAGGCGCTTTGGGAGATGCGAGAGGGAGTGAATTCTCTGTAATGTAGTGAGATACTATTTTGATACAGTGAATATAGATTCTTCCCACCTCTTTCTCCCAAATCTGATATTTTCTGTTAAACTATTTTTCTCCCTCAGTTCAGCACTAGGCAAGAAGCCATGATTATCTATTATAGTACATAAGCCATTACAACCAGAGGGTTGTCACTGCATAACTGGAGAAGTAGAGCCTGGCTTTTGGTTTTGTTTTTGAAAGATAAAAATTGGATGACAACGTGGGCAGGCAAAGCCAATGTTTCTAGCTCCCAGCCAGACTGGGAATGAAAATGGGAAAGAGAAGGGGTAAATGTTGGTGTGTTCCTAAGGAGGGCCTATTCCCTGAGACTCTCCTAAATGGAGCCCTGGGTTGGCTGAGTGAGGACTGTGGACGTTTTGGTTCGTTTGGAGCAATGGTGTGCTGGAGACAGCTTCACCCTCAGGACTCACTGGAGCATTTCTTCCCAACGCCTCATTTGGTGCTCTCATGTTGCTTGCTTGAAATTGACCATGGTGGGAATATTTACACTGCAGAAATTGGCAACTGCTACAGATCAGAACTTTTCTCTTTGGAGAGCTGATTGTTAAGCATTTGTTCCTCATACCACTGGTTTGGGACCTCTGTCTTACTTCCCTGGTGCAGTCCAGAAAGATGGCAAACTTTTGGAAATCTGCCTCCTCCTTGCCCTATGTCTGGCAAAAAGTAGAAATGGCTGTGTGACCTGTGACCTATCTTGGCAGAAAGGTTGTATGACAGCATCCAGAATTTCCCATGGCCACAGCGAGTTATGGGAGACCACTCCAATTTGTTCTGTACTTTGGAGAGAGGCTCAAACGTGATTGAAATGGAGCCATGCCTGTGGGCATGGACAGTCAAAGATCATTCAGGAAGGAGCACATCTCAGTGGATGAGAGAATGAACAGGTGGGGCTAGGCGCTGTGGCTCATGCCTGTAATCCCAGCACTTTGAGAGGCTGATGTGGATGGATCACTTGAGCTCAGGTGTTCACAACCAGCCCAGGCAATGTGGTGAAACCCCGTCTCTACAAAAAAAAAAAAAAAAAAAGCTGTGCATGGTAGCACATGCCTGTAGTCCCAGCTACTCGGGAGGCTGAGGTGGGAGGACTGCTTGAGCCCAGAGGCAGAGGCTGCAGTGAGCCGAGGTCGTGCCACTGCACTCCAGCCTGGGTGACACAGTGAGACCCTGTCTCAAAAGAAAAAAATAAAAGAGTGGACAGGTGATGACACAGGACCAGCTTCCTTCCTCCCCACTCTGGTGGCAGAAAAGTAATGGTAGCAATAGACATAATACAAAAATTAGAAAGATTCTTGATTACAAGTGCCTGAAGTTGGCCCCATTCTACCACCCACCTGAATGGGACTTTGAAGAGAAGTTAAGTATTATTACAGTGAAAAATAAATAAAACTGTGTTTCTGGTACAGCCGAGCTTGTAGCCTGCACTTTGTGGGCACTACTTTAGCTCTTCGGAAAGTTGTAGTACCATTGGAGGTGTCTCTGCAAGAACCAGTTGAGAACCACTTCTCCAAGCCCCTTTAGTTGTACAAGTTCTATACATTTGATAAGTGAAAATACAAAGTGTTCATCAGCTTGCGATTTTTTTTCAGAAAAGCATCTCTATGGGAGGTGCAGTGATTAAACACACGAGCTGTGGGCTTTGACAGGGTTCAGATCTCAGCTTTGATAGGTACTATGTCATCTTAGGCAAGTTACTGGGCTTTTCTAAGCCTGTGTTGAGCTCCTCACATAAGAATTAAACAAGCAGGTCCACATAGGATTCTTACATAGCCACCTGTACACAGCAAACACTCACTACACATTAGCTATTACTAGAAGGGAAGTAACAGTCATCAGTAATAAGCGGATGAGGGGCACCTCCAGCTTCCTCTCAAATCCGTGACCAGCTGAGAGTTAGTTAGATGCCAAAGTTCAACTGAAAACAAGAGATTCTGACTCTAGATCCATGAGGAGTCCACATTATTTAATTCAATCTTTCGAATGATCTTGTGAGTACTGTCTTTCTTCTGCCAGTAAGAAAGTTGAGGCTAAGTTGAAATCCAAACTCAGGTCTTTTACCTTCAAAGCCACATTACATTCATCTCTACTGCTTTGGAGAGGTGGATGAGTGGGCACCTCCAGCTTCCTCTGAAATCAGTAGCCAGCTGAGAGTTACATGCCAAAGTTCAACTGACAGCAAGAGATTCTGACTCTAGATCTGAGGAGCCTCATACAATTTTTTTGACATTTGAGGTATAAGTGAAAAATGAAAAGGTTTTCATTAGAGAAGAATAAAGAATACCAAGTTTATTCTAAACACGCAAAGACAGCCATTCAACTATGTCAGTATAAGAATGGTGTCACAGTGGACCCACATATTTATTTTTATTTATAAAAAAACCTTAGTCTAAATTGCATATTACTTTGCTTTTACTAAGCAATTAGAGCTTGGTAAAAATAATTGCACTAGATAGTTAATGCAGCTGTATTTTGGGTATGCCTAGGAGAGCTCAGTTGGCTGTCCCACGGAGCCTGAGGCTGGGGCACCACCAGGCACCTGGTGGCAGCTACATAAATGTCAAAAGTGGTAACCTATGACCGGATGCGGTGGCTCATGTCTGTAATTCCAGCACTTTGGGAGGCCAAGGCGGAAGGACTGCTTGAAGCCCAGGAGTTCAAGACCAGCCTGGGCAACATTTGGAGACCCGCATCTCTACAAATAATGAAAAAAATTGCTGTGCATGGTGGCATGTACTTGTAGTTCTGACTACTCTACCAGGGAGGCTGAGGTGGGAGGATCACTTGAGCCCAGGAGGTCAAGGCTACAGTGAGCTGTGATGGCGCTCCACTGCACTCTAGCCTGGGCAACAGAGCGAGATCCTGACTAGAAAACAAAAAAAAAGTGGTGACCTAGATGAAAATACCCAGTCTAAGGGGCTAGTCCTTAAAAGTGCAACCTTAAGACATCACACATGAAATTAAGTTGTACTGAGAAAAGTTGCACTTGCTTCTTTGAGACAGCAGGTTTAAATTAAATGAACATTAAATTCAATTATTAAATTGAACCATAAGAAATTGCTATTTTTGGCTGGGTGCAGTGGCTCACGCCTGTAATCCCAGTACTTTGGGAGGCCAAGGTGGGCGGACGCTTGAGGCCAGGAGTTCGAGAACAGCCTGGCCAACATGGTGAAACCCCATCTCTACTAAAAATACAAAAATTAGCTGGATGTGATGGCGCATGCCTGTAATCCCAGCTACTCAGGAGGCTGAGGCACAAGAATCGTTTGAAACCAGGAGGCAGAAGTTGCAGTGAGCCAAGATCAAGCCACTGTACTCCAGCCTGGGTGACAGAGCAAGACTCTGTCTCAAAAAAAAAAGAAAGAAAGAAATTGCTAGTTTTTTGCAGGTAAAAAGTGGTAAAATATCAGCAATTGAGGTGGCTCAAGCTATTGATTAAGTTAAAATTTCAATTCCAGGCTGATTTTTCTTCTTCCCTAAAGAAGGACTGGATAATAATTATAGTAATAGGAGGAGGATTCTTTGTTATCATAGTCCTTACACTTACTGAGCTCATGAGGATCCCACTTCTAGTCTGTTTATATACATTAACTCACTTAGGACCACAATAACCATAAGAAATAAGGACAATTATTATTTGTATTTGACAGATTTATCAGGTTACATGTGGCAGCTTTATTAAATAATATCTGTAGTTTTGGGTGCTTATATTAAGTGTTGTACTAAGTGGCCTTCACAAATAATCTCTTTACCTCTGAGATTCACAAATGACCTCATTACTTCCCATTACTATGATTTTCCTTATCCTTCAGAGGAGGACCCTGAGGTGAGAGGTTCAGAAATTTTCTGAGTTTCACAAAATTAGTAGGGGGCAGAGGAAAAATTTAAAATGAGATTGGTCTACTTCTGGGCCTCAGTGTGTAACTATGAAGTGACTCTGTTTCAGTCTATGCTTTTCTTTCCATCTGGCCTTTCCAAGTCATAGCAGCCTCCCCCATCTTCTTTGATAATTTAGCGAGTTTCACTAAGTACTTGATAACTATCCTTGCATGCACACTGGTTTCATATGTGGCTGATTTTTGAGAATGTGGCATTGCCAAGGTGCTTGTGAAACTAGGCCAATCAAATGTATTGATTCCAATAAAGTTCTTATTAAATTGATTCCTCCTTATATAATTGTGAAATGGCCATAGAAACACCACTAGAGTTAAGCATGCGCAATTTCCTTAAATGGGATTCTCAGATAAGCATCAGCCTCTTAGAGCTTATGATATCTGAGAAAATAACAGCTAAACTCCCCTGCACTGATGTGGCAGTGAAATGATTTCTCTGGTAGTGGCTCATTTCTTAGTTACCAAGTAAAGTATTTACGGAATCTTCCCTTAGGTACAGATATTACGGTTAACATGAACAATGAGATGAGAAAATTGAGGAACCAAGGTGATTACAAAACAGCTAAAGCCAAACTGGCTGTTTGGCACCCACATTGAAAAGATTTTCTGAAGTCTAATGATTTAACTGGTTGTAAAAGATGTGCTGAGTTCAATCAAAGATGTCCAAACTTAGTTTAGATTTTCTTTCACACGGGATTAAATTGCTCTAAGTGGCCTGTTTCCTGCTGTGCGGGGTCCCCCTCCAGGTTTGCATATGAAGAGTAGGTTCTCTTGGGAGACTAGCCTCACTCACATGCACACCTTCACTCACATGGCTCCATCAGGAGCTGTGAAAATGGGGGTTTTACTGTTTAACTTAAAATATGAGTTGAAATGGAAAATAAAATAAAAGGGAGATAGTGCAAGTATCCGATATCCCTCCTTCAAAATGCAACAGGACGCCAAGGCAAGAGGATTGCTCGAGCCCAGGAGTTTGAGACCAGCCTGGGCAACATGGTGAGGCCCCATCTCAAACAAACAAACAAACAAACAAACAAACAACAACAAAACCTTGCAATGATGTGCAGCCTTGATGAGATAGAGAACAGGCTCCCTTTAGTACAGGCCAAATCACATGAATGGTTTCTATTTACTGGGCACTTACTATGTGTCAGACATTGTACCAAATGCCTGAATGAGGATAATCTTATGTACTTTTGCCTATTATTACCTGTATTTTACAGATGAGGAAACTGAGGTTTACAGAAACTGAGTAACTTCGCCAAGTCCATATCCTTCATAAATGGTGTAGTTGGGGCTGCAAGCCATGCCTAACTGGCCTTGGAGACCAGGTATGTTGCTGGTCTTGAGCACCATGGTATATTGCTTCTCATAGAAAATGTAGCCCATACACAGGCAGACTGAATCTGCAAGCTGCAGCCCCTTGACTGTAGAGTCCTGCTTTGTTCAGCTCTCCTGCACAGTATATTCCAGATTCCCCGTCTTGGGTGAGGGATTATAATGGCAGTTTATCTCCAACCACACACCAGTGCTCTCATGTCCTGCCTTCCCTTCAAATATGAAGTCTGCCTGTGATCTCATTCCTGTGTCTGAGCCGATAGAGCTCCTATTCCTGTGTCATTCTGTAAGTAGAGGCTCCTGTCCATCTGTCATGTAATAAACCTTCCTTCAGTGGGAAAAAGAGTGACTCAATAAATGTCCCTAGGAAAGCATAGTTCTGCAAGGCTTGGACAAATCCTTACCTGAGGATGTGATTTACTTGTTACAACGAAAGGAGGAGGCAAAAGCATGGGGTATTTTTTGGTCTTTATATCTTACTCTATGCCAACATTATAGTTCCTTAAAATTTAAATTCATTAATTCAATAAATAATATATACATATATAGTTCAAAATCAAAACAATATAAAGCAATTACATATAAAAACATATTTTATTTCTACCCTTGTCCCCATTCACCCTGATTCTCCCTCTAAATTAGTAAGCATTTTTATTAGTTTCTTGCATATTCATCTCATCCTTTTTAAATGCAAATATAAATACCTGTTTATTCTTTTTTTTTTTACACAAAAGCTGCACTCTGTCCTCACCTTTTTTACTCTAAGTATTTTAATAATACATAGAGAACATGCACTTTTTACTGTTTACATCTGCATAGTATTCCTTGTGTACCTGTCCCACAGCGTATCTAACCAGCCTCCATGAATGGGCGTTTAGGTTGTTTGCAGTCTTGTAATTACAAAAAACATTGCAATGAATTTGCTTATGCAGTGGTATCTGTAGGATAAACTCCCAGAAGTGGGATTGCTGGGTCGAAGAGTAAATGCGCTTTACATGGTTATTGCCAAATTGTCCTTCACAGGACTCTCCCACTAGCATTAGATAAGAGTCCCCTCCACTGCCCTGCCAATAGAGTGTGTTGTCACACTGGATTTTTGCCAATCTGATAGGCGAGAAATGGTTTCCTAGAGCAGTTCTGACTTAATAGTTGTTTTTTTTCATGACTGAGGTTGAGAGTATTTTCATATGTTTAAGGGTATATTTCCTTTCTGTGAAAAATATGTGTAGGGGAGTCTATGCCTGAGATGAGTTACAAATATTTTTGCTGGTTTGCCACTTATCTTTTGACTTTGCCTTGGTGTGTTATTATTATTACTACTCTTTTGCCTTCAGAGGGCCTTTGTTTGTTTATGTAGTTAAGCATCATTACTCTCTCATGATCTCTGGATTTTCAGCCATAGTTAGAAAGGCCTTCCCTACACTGATGTTACAAAGGGATTTGCCTGCATTTTATCATATTTTGACAATTCCTTTCCCCCTCATCTTTAAATCTTTGAATTATTTGGAGTTTATTCTGATGAGTATTACGTTAGTTATGGATCTAACTTTGTCCTTTTGCTCCTGACTACCCAATCGCCCCACCATTGTTCTATTTAAAAATCATCATGACTGATTTGGGATGCTGCCTTTGTCATATACCAAATCCCCATAGGCATTTGCTTATAATTCTGACTCTGCATCTTTTCCATTGGTCTATTTGTGAATTCATTTAGCAGTACCACTCTGCTTTAATTATTAAGTCTTTATAGCCTCAATAATATTTGGGGCCTTGTGATATTTCTTTTAGGGAAGAGAGAAAATCCTTTAGTGCTTTCAATGAGAAAGAGAGTGGCCCCTGTCAGTTATCTTGAGTATAAAAGTTTCACATTTTTGCACATCAATATATAGTAGGACTAGGCATTTCTATCACAAATCACCTTGCAAGGGAAGCAGCAGTTGGCCCTTACGTGCTTGGAGCTGGATGATACACGATGCTCCTTTTCACCCCCTAATTTGCCAGGAGGCATGAGGAGCATGTGAGTTTGGGAATGAGAGGGGTGGAGGCCTCCTGTCCTACTTGGATGCTTGAAATGATTCCAGGGAAGGAGCCGCATTGGAGGAGCACTGAGAAACCAATGCTGGGAATGTCTAATTGCTACCAAGTGGCATCTAAATTGAAAGCGTTATGCTTGATGCCTGTCTTGGAGTTCTAAACTTTTTGCTCACTGACTTTAAAAAATGTGCTATGAATTTAGAGCTCTGAACTTGGCTAACAAGCCCCCTAAACCATCTTTTTTCCCCCTAAACTATGTTCTCAAAAAACATAGCCACTGTGTGAGAAGCTCTCTGGATTGTCTTCAAGCAGGACAATTGTACACTCAATGATTTGCACTTCCAATAATGCTATAGAACAATGTTTAATTAAGAGAAAATGTATATGTAGCATGAACTACATCTGTGACTTTCCCTAAGGTGTATACAAACTGAGCTTGCCTTTTCATTCAACTACCATGATAATAACTTATTATGAGCCTGCTGCTGGCTTAACTATTTCCATGAATCCTCAAGCAGCCCTGATGGAGTTGGCTCTGAGGGTTTAATACCTTGCAAACTGCACACAGGAGCATGGCAGAGCTGTGTGTGCGTGCTTGGGTGACTGTGAGCTGAGCAAGGAGGTGGGAGTAGGAGTGGGCAGGAAACCCTCTATTCTTGATACTACAAATCTCTGAGTCATTTTCTTTCTCAGTAGGAGCCTTTGTTATTAATCCCTCGATTCTCTGCGGTTTGTTTTTAGCACACCTCAACCTCTCACAGTGGGAATGTCTCTCTCTTTCTTCCCATCACCTTCTCTTTCTCTTACTTTACAGTAGCAATTGTATCTTCTCTTATTCTCCTTCCAGATTGCTCTGATGTTTGAAGGAAGCTTCCATGGCTGTTCCGGGGTGTGGCAGGCGACCTCACAAAACTTGTTCTACATGTTGGCCAAAGATCTGCTAATTTCCTACTTAGGCAACATTGTACAATCCAGTTCTAACAGTAATAGAATTTTCTCTATAAACTCTTAAAGTGTTTTTAAAATTTATTTTTCTCAATAGAAGTAATATATACATTAAATAAATTTTAAACACTGAAGAAATATGTATTGTAAAAAGTGAAGGTGCCTCGTAATTCTACCTGCAGAGAAAACCACTTTAGTAGTCTAGTGATCCTCAATTTTTTTCAATAGGTATGCCAGCTAGATTCTTCTTCTTCTTTTTCTTTCTTTCTTTCTTTCCTTTCTTTCTTTCTTTCTTTCTTTCTTTCTTTCTTTCTTTCTTTCTTTCTTTCTTTCTTTCTTTCTTTCCTTTCTTTCTTTCTTTCTTTCTTTCTTTCTTTCTTTCTTTCTTTCTTTCTTTCTTTCTTTCTTTCCTTCTTTCTTTCTTTCTTTCTTTCTTTTTGACAATCTGGTTCTCTTGTCCAGGCTGGAGTGCAGTGGCGCTATCTTGGGTCACTGCAGCCTCCACCTCCTGGGTTCAAGCAATTCTCCTGCCTCAGCCTCCTGAGTAGCTGGGATTACAGGCACCCGCCACCATGACTGGCTAATTTTTGTATTTTTAGTAATGACGGAGTTTCACTATGTTGGCCAGGCTGGTCTCGACCTCCTGACCTTAGGTAATCCACCTGCCTTAGCCTCCCAAAGTGCTGGGATTATAGGCATGAGCCACAGCACCAGGTCAGATTATTCTTATTTTTCAAAAATGGGGTCACAGTATACACATGGCTTTTCATTTCGTTTTCTTCACTTTGGAAGCCTATCCAGCCTGTCCATATGTGGCAATTGCTGTTGTAATGATGAGGCAACATATTTTTGCTCCATTTCCATTTATCTCGTCTTTGGTCCCATCGCAAATAAAAAAAGTACACTGAAGTAAAAGTGAGGAGCCTTGGGTTTCTAGCATAGTTTTGCCACTAGCTAGCTGTGTGGCTACAGACAAATTGCTCAACCTCGTTGGTTTCAGTTTTCATTGTAAAGTGTTGGGAATATGATTTTAAAAGCCCCTCCTAGCTCTGTCAGATCAGGCCTATTGGTAATAGTATGTGTTGAGTACCTGCTATGTTCTAGGAACTGTTCTAGGTACTAAGAAAGCAGCAATGAATGTAGGAGAAGAAAACCCCTATCCTCACAGAGCTTTCATTTCAATGTTGAATGTATTCCCCTCTGAATAGCGCCACAAAACATCCGAAAACAAGTGCATCTTCTCCCTCCATTTCTTTACCCCGCAATTATTCTCCAACTCAGCAACTGAACTCTTGCTTCAAACCCTCCCACGAAAGTCCTCTAACAAATGCCAGCAATTAACCTTCTATTCACAACATCCAATGGATTCTTCTAGTCTGCATTTTACTTAAGCTCTAGGTGGAATGTAACACTATTATTTGTTTTCTTCTTAGACTGATTGTCTCTTTCAGCACTGATTTCTCTCAAGAATGACCATTCCTTTCCCTGAATAAATATGTAGTCAACCTTTATTATTTATGGAGTCTGTTTTTGCAAATTTGCCTATGCTAAAATTTATTTGTAACTCCAAAAGTGATCCTGATAGGGTTTTTGAGGTCACTCACAAACATGTGCAGAGGAGCACAAAATTTGAGCTTCCCGATGGGCATGCTCTCAGCTGAGGCTGACCAAGGTGATGCTTTGCTTTCCCGTTTCAGTTCCCATCCTATTAAGAAGTTTCCTTATTGCGGCCTATTCAGTGTGCATTTTCACATATTTGTGCTTTTTGTTGATGACTTTACTGTTTAAAATAGCCCCAGGCCTAGTACTGAAGTGCTGTTTAGTGTTTACAAGCACAAGAAAGCTATACTATGCCTTATGAAGAAAATAAGTGTTAGATAAACTTTGTTCGGGCATGAGTTCAACATTAATAAATTGACAATGTAGATTAAATATGTTATTTTTAAACAGAAACACACATAAAACAAGGTTACCACTGATAAGTTGGTGAAAACATCGTGACCAGAGGCTTGCAGGAACCTAACCCTGTATTTCCCCTAAAAGAAATGGTTCAGCATTTTCTAATTCAGGGTTCACAGTGGCTTCAGAGAATGTAACTGCCATGAATAATGAAAATCAACGTATTTTTAAATCCAACTTCTCTTTCCGTACTGTTCCTTAAATGTTGGCATTCCTTGGGACGCCCTCTTGGTCCCATTGCTCTTCTCATCCTGTGAATTCTCCAAGACTACCCCCTTCTCTCCTAGAAAGGACTCCAGACATGTATATCTAACTGCTGTATATGTGTATTCCATATTCCTGGCCCCAACTAAAAATCCCAAACTAGGAGTTCGAGACCATCCTGGCCAACATGATGAAACCCCATCTCTACTAAAAATACAAAAAATTATCTGGGTGTGGTGGCACGCGCCTGTAATCCCAGCTACTCAGGAGGCTAAGGCAGGAGAATCACTTGAACCCGGGAGGTGGAGGTTGCAGTGAGCCGAGATCGCGCCACTGTACTCCAGCCTGGGCAACAAAACCAAAACTCTGTCTCAAAAAAAAGAAAAAAATCCCAAACTACGCTTACTACCTCATTGATGTGTTCTTCCTTGAAGAGTCCCAATTTAATAAATGGTATCACCCAAGTAGGTAAGCCAGATCATGGAGAATCCTTCTTCACTTCTCTGATTCCTTCCCTACTCCCTCTAGCTCCCAGGTGGTTGACTCTATCTCCTTAACGTCTCTCAGCTCACTCTCTTCCTTTCTGCTCCCATGGCTACTCCTTAGATCTGGCCCCATGGTTGTGGCCTAGGGTGATGAACTGGCTTCTCAAGTCCTCTACCTACAGTCAGTATTGTACCCCCATTTCGACACCTTCAATCCATCTTCCACATTGGGGCCCAAATGAGAGTTCTGTTTAATAGCAGTGTAATAGCTGACATTGACTTCTTGGGTCTGTGTCCCAGGCATCATGCTAGAGACCTGACACATACTATCTGTAATCCTCAGGCTGCAGGTATACACAGTTATACCCATTTTCCATCAAAGGAACTGAGATTCACAGGTGATAAAACCCTAACTGCTAAGTACTAGAACACAGGAGCCTTTATGATTTAGTCTCTGGCCACTTCATTAATTTCATGTGTTGACAAATTTTTTCTTACCTCTCTGTGTATCCTACCCTCTAGCAGTTTAAAGCTACATGTGGTTTTCCCAAACATTTTGTGCTGCTTCACATTTCCATGCCATTCTTTAGCTATGCCCTCTGCTTGTCATGATCTTTCTTGCCTTGTCTATGACAAGGCCTACTCAACTTACTACACTCAGCTTAATAAAACTGGCTTTAATAAAACTTCTAGAGCTTCCCAAGTAGAGCAGGCCACACAGTCTTTTCTGTTCCCACTATACTCTGTAGAAACTTCTATTGCAGTGTCACCTTACCACATTTACTGCTTAAATGCCTTTCTCTATGTAGACTCTTTAGATGTGACACCTTTTCTCTGGGTGGACTCATTTTTGCTTATTACTTCTATGACGGTCAATAAGATCATGATTTCTAACCAATATTATGGCTCAGTTGCCTCTACTCAGCTGCCTATCCTAATATCTGCTTACTGGACCTTTGTACCAGAATGGTCCAAGCCAAATTAATTATTTTTTCTCTAATTTGCACTACTTCTAGATGCACAATGAATGAAACTCCATCTGTCTGCTGTTCAAGCAAGAAAATTTGGAATTGTCAATTTCCCCCCTACTTCTATCTACACATAGTGTCTATCTTTAAATTCTATTTACCCTAGAGCTATCCTAATAATATATTTTGTACCCATCACCTTTCTCTCCACCCCAATTGGCCACATCAGATCACTATCTTCCTGTCAGTGCACCCAGCTCCTAACTTGTTTCTCTACCTCCAATCTTGCTAAAATGATTCTCCTTATTCTCATCAGAGTGCTGCTCATAAGGAACAAATGGGATCTCCCCAGTTCATTCCATCTTAATCCTTTAGTGTCTTGCCATGGTCAGTAGGATAGTGTAAGCTCACAAGCATTACAGAACCCTTCATGCTTTTCTCTCCGGTTTTGTCTCTCTCTCTACTTCTCCCTTTCGTATAAGTCTTTCAGCCTCATCTAACTATTCACAGATCTTCAAAGGTGGAATTGTGTATGTTCTTTCTTTTTGGGCTGGGTGAATTGTATATTTTCTTTTTTCTTTTCTTTTCTTTTTCTTTTTTGAGATGGTGTCCCACTGTGTCACCCAGGCTGGAGTGCAGTGGCGTGATGTCAGCTCACTGCAACCTCTGCCTCCTGGGTTCAAGTGATTCTTGTGTCTCAGCCTCCCAAGTAGCTAAGACTACAGATATAAGCCACCATACCCGGCTGATTTTTCATATTTTTGGTAGAGATGGGGTTTAGCCATGTTGACCAGGCTGGTCTTGAACTCCTGACCTCAGGTGATCTGCCTGCCTCGGCCTCCCAAAGTGCTGGGATTACAGGCGTGAGCCACTGCACCCGGCCGAATTGTCTATTTTCTTTATGACTTGGCTCAGAGAATTTCTAGTTTGGATTATGTCCTCTACTTTCAGAGAACTCTGCCTCTGACTTTGCATACTGTGCAATTTAAACACCTTAAAGGCAGGAACTGTGTATAATACTCAGAGCATGGCCTAGGAGCCAGCATGGAGGAGGTGAGGTATAGATGTTTGTTGAATGACTGTATGAACTCACAATTTTGAAGGTGTTGACCATGGGCATTGTTGACCTGGTATATATTTGATTGACCAATGGCAGCATCACAAGTCATACCATTGACCAATGGACAGGATCACTTGTGATGGCATCTTCTGATGCCATCAAGGGCTGCATTCCCAGGAAAAAACAAATTACTGGGATCTTAGAGATATTCTCCCTTTCCTATGCCTTCAGAGACATATCTAAGCTTAGCTATGCTTTCCCTCATCCTCTGAGTTTCAGCAACAACCATCCATAGCAGTTAAGAAAATTTCAAATAGCTTTAAGTTAGGCAACAAGTTACCTTTTGCATAATGTTTGCATAATGCATGATGCAAAATGTTCCTATGTCACTAATTTTTTTTTCATGGAAAAAATGGTGTGCTACATCTTTTTGACTTATGTTTTAATTTCTAGATATTCTTCTTTCCTCCTGGCAAAGCTAACCATACGGTCGGAGGACTTGAATGCCCAGTGACGTTTGGTGACAATCTGAAGCCACCAAGGAAAGAAAATATTTCTTCTTTGTGGTACAGTTGTTTAAAACATGGTTGCAAGCAGGTTTAAGTAGGACTTTTTTTTTTTAAAGCATAGTTGATTTAAGCAGAAACTTGAAAAATAAAACACAAAAAGACAACTACAAAATAATATGCATAGCATGACCCCATTTTTGTAAAACAAGAATAATCCAGTTAGCATAGCTTAGAAAAAATGGAAAGAAAGAATATGCACTTGGCTGTTTAATAGTGGGTTTTTTTTTTTGTTTTTCTGGAAGTTATGATTATAGTGGACCTTCACTTTTAACATTACTTATTTCTGGTTTTGCTATGCAAAAAAAGGGCAGAAAACTCCGGGAAAAATTTTATTTATAGCTTTATCCTGGGGGCTGTTTTGCTTTTCTACATCTTCAGAGTGGAAATGCTGTCTAAACCAATCAGTTAACAATTTGGTTAACTATTGTTACTGCCATTATTTTGGTTTCCTGTGACACTGGAAGAATGTTTTCTAGCTTGGTCCCTTGTCCAAGCAAATGTTACCAATTTTTAAAAAAGAGACTGCGCAACATCCTCAGAAGTAGCCAAGTCTAGCATGTATCTTTTGTTTAAATGTGTGGGGATAAGTTATTCTATAAGCATATGATTATACTGTAAAATCTTAGACATTTATAATTCAGTGAGTAATGATTTCCCAAAAGCTAAAATTTGTCAATTACGTGCAGCTAGTAATTTCCAGGTTATGAGGCTACTTCGACAATGGGTGAGACTCTGGGGGTTGCTATGGGGAGCGCCTCCAGCAGTGAAGCTAATGTGGGCTTGTGCCACTGTCATAGGGGCCACACTCTGAGTCAGAAAGGACCTCAGGAAAGGAGTTCAAACGCCCAACTGATGCAAGAATCCCTCTGCAACATCCACGACTGCCAGACTCCTGTTTAAAACTTTCTGACAGCTTCCCACGCTCACAGGGCAAAGTTCAAACTCCTTGACGTGCTTCAGGAGGCCTTGCGCAGTCTGGCCTCTACTTACATCTCCAATTTTGTTTTTAAGTATTCATCAATTTGCTTACTAATTCCTTTATCAACCCATGCATCAAATATTTAGTGAGTGCTTACAGTGTACCAGGCACTATTTTGGGAATTGAAAATACACAACAATAAATGAAACAGACAAAATCCTCTTGGAGCTTTCATTCCAGCGGTCTAAGAAACACAGTAAACAGGCTGGGCACAGTGGCTCATGCTTGTAATCCCAGCACTTTGGGAGGCCAAGGCGGGTGGATTGCCTGAGGTCAGGAGTTTGCGACTAGCCTGGCTAACATGGTGAAACCCCGTCTCTACTAAAAATACAACAAAATTAGCCAGGCGTGGTGGCACACACCTGTAGTCCCAACTACTTGGGAAGCTGAGGCAGGAGAATCGCTTCAACCCGGGAGGCAGAGGTTGCAGTGAGCCGAGATTGTGCCACTGCATTCCAGCCTGAGCAACAGAGGGAGATTCCATCTCAAAAAAAAAAAAAAGAAAGAAAAAGAAAGAAACACAGTAAACAAATAAATAAAACATGTTGTGTCAGGTAGTAATGAATCCCATGGGGAAAAATAAAGCATGGAAAATGTAGTGATTTTAAATACAGGCACACATTCTTTGATACTTCTCCCTCCAAGAGGTTGAGCCTAAATCCTTTTCCCTCTAGTTTGGGCTGGACTTAGTGGCTCACTTCAAATGAATGAAATAAATCAGAAGCAATGATGTGCGACTCTGGAGCTTAGGCCACAGAAAGCACTATGTCTTCCTCTTCTCTCTCTTAGATCACACTCTCTGGGAGATGTTAGCTGCCACGTTATGAGCAGCCCTATAGAGACAGCCCTGTGTGATGAGAAATTGAGGCCACAGACAGCAGCCATCTGAGTGAACTTTCTTGGAAGTGGATTCCCCAGCCCCTGTCAAGCCTGCAGATGACTGCATCCTTGGCCAACTCTTGACTACAATGTCATGCGTGACCCTGAGCCAGATTCCTTAGAAATGATATGAGATGACAAATGTTCTTTGTTTTAATCTGCTGAGTTTTGGGGCAATTTGTTAGACAGTGATAGGTAACTAATACAAAAAGAAAATAGGGAAGGTTTATGTTGGGTGGTGCTGGCTGTTGCCAGGGTAATTACAGGAGGCCTCACCGAGAAGGAGACTTGCAGCTAACTCTTGAAGGAGGTGAGGGAGTGAGCCATGAGTACGTCTGGAGAAGATTTCTTGCAACTCTTCCTGTTGCACTGTGGTCATACAGAACTTGCCTCGGTCATTGGAACACACCATTTTCCTTCTTAACTCCAGGCCTTCCCACATGTTATCTCTTCTACTCACAACTCACACCTCCTCACTCTTCCCTGCCACCCCACCTCACTTCCAATGCTGGCCACCTCATTAACTCCTCATTTATCTATCAGGTCTCAGCTTAGATGCTGCTTTTTCAAGAAAGCCATTCATATCTGCCTAGCCTTGGGTAAGTACCCCTTCTGCGTGGTTCCTTGTGGTTCACAGTCATAGCACTTGACACAGTGTAGGATGATGGCCTTTTGTTTTTTTTTTTTTTTTGGCCTTTAGAGGGATTATATTCTCTGTGAGGACAGGGCCATATCTTTTGCAGTTGTAACTGCCACAGCCAGCAGAGTAATTGACACTTGGCAGGAACTCAGTCAATAGCTCCTAAGTGCATGAAGACATTCTGTTCTACCATCGAATGGCAGTCACAGAAACCCTCACCGTCTCAGTTTCCTCATCTCTAAAATACCCTCCTTCCAGGATTATGGTGAGGATAACAAATGCACTATGTAAGTCACCTAGCAGAGTAAGTTCTATAGAAGCAATAGTCAAATTCTAGTGCAGGAAGTCTGTTCCCTTATAAGACAGTCCCTTCCATTCCATTGTGCAGCAGTTCTAATTAGGAGAAAACTGTTGTCTTGAAACTGGACAAATTGAGGATAAATACCTTCTCCGATTAGGGCCCATTTTGATTTTTCATTCACAATTAGATGGATATTTTAGGACACAAGAGAACAATTCTAGTCAAATCTTTCCTTCCTTCTATTCATCAGGTTTATTGAGGTATAATTTGCTATAGTAAAATTCACCCTTTTTAGGCATGCAGTTCTATGAGTTTGGACAAATGCATGCAGTTTTACTACTGTCACCAGCCAACAGGTTTTCACTTTTTATTAATTCTCTGTTGACAGCTCAAAGTAGTGTACAGTTCTTACTTAGTACTGCTTCCACTCTCTGCCAAAACAAACTCTCCAATTTTAAATGATCTTGGCTTTTTCACTGTGTTTGGTGCTTGGACATCTGGGGGTGCCTGTTTTTGTCTGAATCTCTGCAGCCAGAAGGATTGTTATTCCAAAGTGTAACCAACCATTAACCAAAATATTATTACATTTATCCTGATTCCTTTTATTACTGTCTCTCAGAGCAGAAATTGTGAATGGGCAATGATAACCCTTTAGCTTCATTTGGGACCCTGAAGAGCAAAATTCTTTCTCTTCTGTAATAAAAATAGAAAAAGGAAGATTTTGAAACAAAGAGGGGTTTCTAACAAGAAATTTGCACATGTGTATGTTTCTCCCCTGCTCTGAAGTTCTATTATACTTGTTGTCAACACTGTTTGTCACTTTAGTGCTCCCGAATTACCACTCCTTTGTGTTTGACGGCACTAATTTGATTACAAGATGAGGAACTTTTCCCTGTTTCTTTCCTCCTACATAAAGAGGATGAGCACAGGACTGGGTACACAGTTAAACGCAATAAAAGTTCTTTTGAGAGACTAACTTGTAGGGAGAGGTGGCTTTTGGTAAGTTCATGGGAAGGTTCTTTGCAGATAGATCAGGATTTCTGAACAGAACTTCCATTTAGAAAGTCAGATCTTTTAATTTATTATGATGAATAAAGTTTTCACCAGATTAACTGTGGTTTCACTAATAAATTATGAAATAAGTTGCCTAGCAATACAGTGTAATAAGTGTAGACATCTAGGAAGGTGGATTATCTCAAAAGATCAAGGTAAAGTTTAGGTTCCATCAGTGGGTACAAAGAAATGAAAGAAGGAAGCCTTTGTGGCTCTTGAGGTAAAGTGATGCTAGCATCCACTTCTTTCCCCCAATCCTCCTCAGTTTATAAGTCATTGTCGAGAATACTAAACCACCAGGGCGATACAGGGGAATCCCACAGGTGAACATGACTTTAGAACATGCTTTCGGAGAGGGTCTCTGAAAGAGGTTTTCTGGACATCTCGGTCGGGGGAGCTCATGGATACCTGGCAGTAAGTACGCAGTAATGTCCCAGAAATCAACCTGATGCAATTTTACTGCAATTTTCTGTTCTTGGGTCATATACAAAAATATCAAAAGCACTTTCTGCTCTTTCTCAATAGCAATGAATGCAATAAACCACAAATATTTCCAAAGAGGTTACAGAAATTTTAATGTTATGAGAAAGTCAGAGGGTCAGGATAGGGTTGAGCCTAATGCATATGTGTAAGAGGCACAAGAAGTTGCTAAGAGATACTTATCCAAAATCTTTTTTTTTTTTTAGGCAGAATCTCACTCTGTTGCCAAGATGGAGTGCAATGGCATGATCTTGGCTCACTGCAACCTCCGCCTCCCAGGTTCAAGCAATTCTCCTGCCTCAGCCTCCTGAGTAGCTGGGGCTACAGGCACGCAGCACCGCGCCCAGATAATTTTTTGTATTTTTAGTAGAGATGGGGTTTCATCATGTTGGCCAGGATGGTCTCGATCTCTTGACCTCGTGATCTGCCTGCCTCGCTCTCCCAAAGTGCTGGGATTACAGACATGAGCCACTGCACCCAGCCTTATCCAAAATCTTTACAACCATTTTGTCTACATTTTTTATTAGTTTTTTTTTTTGGGAGGGGGCTAAGATGTTAAAGGATCTTGCAGAAATACCTATCTGCATTTAAGATTTTCTAGCGATTAATGCCTAGGTATGCATTAGTTGGCCGTTATAGTCTCAGTGATCTGGTGCCCCCTTGGGTAGTGGCAACACAGGCCAGGTAAATTTTTATAAGTTTGGGCAGGATGTACCATTCAGAGCATGAGGTGCTTCTATGGAGGTTGTGCCTCCATGGGAGAAACACTGGAGACCCTGGATAGCCTGGGAGTCAAATGAGGGCAACCAGGGCTGGCGAAACAACAAGAGGAGAACAGGTCTAATAAAGAAGATGGGCCTGGTTTTGCATCTAGAGTGCCCTCAAGATGGACCTGCAACTGAGGTGGATGGAGCTGCTCAGTGGTGAACTTGGTAGTCATTGTCATTGGGTCACCCTGAGGCATCTATGCCAGCTGTGTTAGGGAGAACTGGACAACTCTCTTGAGACACACAGGCATCGGCCTTCATGACCCAACCTTCCTTGAGTGGGTCTCCCAGGCCCGACTTTAGCCTAAAGAATAAAGCACAAAGAGGCTGCTGATGTCATGAGGGCAGGCTTTATCCTTCACAACATGAGGAAGTGGGCAGTTTGCCCCTCCTTCTCCCTTGGTCCCACATGTACTCTCTTTCTTCTTTCTTGACACCATTTCAGTAATTCTCCCAACCTCGGTTTCTAAAGTGAGGGGGAAATTTTCTATACACCTCCTCCCCACGTTCTGCTTGAATAATCATGTAATTTATGGGAAGTTTTGTAGGGTAGCCCTATTCTTACTTGATGTTCTTTTTATTTTACCCCAGGCCATCCCCAGGTCAAATATAAATTGGTGTTGTGTGTGTGTGTGTGTGTGTGTGTGTGTATGAGAGAGAGAGAGAGAGAGAGAGAGAGAGAGAGAGAAAGAGAGAGAGAAACAGTGGTATTTACTGGAATTACAGAAAGAAGCCAGAAAAATCTGACCTGTCTTGTTTCCTGCCCTAATGGAACTGGCCATCTAGTCAGGGAGATAGAAAAGTAACCTGGGCATTTTAATTCAGATTTACATGACCACGATAGGAGCAAACACAAGGTCCTGTATGCTTTAGTTAGGAAGTGGTATAGTTTTATGGATTCCAGAAAAGTTTTGTTTTTTTTTTTTTTTTTTTTTTTGAGATGGAGTCTCGCTCCATTGCCTAGGCTGGAGTGCAGTAGCATGATCTTGGTTCATTGCAACCTCCATCTACTGGGTTCAAGCAATTATCCTGCCTCAGCCTCCCAAGTAGCTGGGATTACAGTCACCCACCACCATGCCCAGCTAATTTTTGTATTTTTAGTAGAGACGGAGTTTCACCATGTTGCCCAGGCTGGTCTCAACCTCCTGACCTCAAGTGATCTTCCTGCCTCGGCCTCCCAAAGTGCTCAGATTACAGGAGTGAGCCACTGCATCGGGCCCAGAAAAGTCTCTTTTAATGACCAAGTATATCCCTTGCTTGGATCCCTAATAGCCGAAATCCAGCAAGTAGAGATGCATTTAGCTTGACACTTCACTCTGAGATAGCATGGTGAATGGAAAAAGCCCTGCATTCATCCTGGATTTGTCATTTTATGGCCATGTGACTTGGAGAAAGTTATTTCATCTTTCAGAGTCTCATATTTCTTATCTGTAGAACTGGAATAACAGAATTTGATGGGTTACTATGAAGATGAAATGAGATAAAATCTAGGGAACAGCTTGAAAATTATGGATGTATTAGTTTTATGGTTTGTGACAGTGTGATCTATTAAATAGACTAGGGTAGAAGGTGGAGGCTGAGAAGAAGGAGAGAGAAAAGGGTGAGTGAAAGAAGGTAGAAAGGAAGAGATGAAGGTCCCCAAGTCATGCTTGTTTCATTCCATGGTTTTGCTCCAAGGCAGTTTTGTTGTTGTTGTTGTTGTGTCTTTTTTTTTTTGAGACAGGGTCTCGCTCTGTCACCCAGGCTGGAGTGCAGTGGTGTGATCTTGGCTCACTGCCACCTCTGCATCCTGGGCTCAAGCAATCCTCCCACCCAAGCCTCCCGAGTAGCTGGGACTACAGGAGTGAGCCATCACACCCAGTTAATTTTTTTGTATTTTTTGTACAGACAGGGTTCACCATGTTGCCCAGGCTGGTCTTGATCTCCTGAGTTCAAACAATCTGCCTGCCTTGGCCTCCCAAAGTGCTGGGATTACAGATGTGAGCCACTGCAGCTGGCTTCAAGGCAGTCTTAAGTGCAGGTAATAGTTATTTAGAAATGCAGATAATAGACCTTGGTTATAGTGGAGAAAATGTAGGGAAGACTAGAAAGCGTGTGATGCAGCCAGTCATAGCTGTGCCCATAGGTAAACCATCTCATTTTCTTCCAACAGAAACTAGAATGACATCACCTAACTTCTGTCTTTCTTTTTTTCAGTCCTGAAAAACTGATGAAGTTCCAGAAAGCTCAGCAGGAGTATGTTTTCATAACTGGCTGAGAAGAGCCTGAAAATTTTTAAGTGGTGATAAGAACAAACAAGATTCAGAGACCAAGATGATGCCAAGCATGAAGAATTTTTACTCAACTCATACAGAACCTGAAAAGAGACATTCTAGTGAGGCTGGAGGATTGGGAATTGGGAGAAGAGACCAACAGTGGGCTGTTAGAGTGAGAGAGAGAGAGAGAGAGAGAGAGAGATCGTGCCGAAAATCTTCCCCAAGCAAGAACATCTCTGGTCATTTCCTTGACCTTTTTGGATAAAGTCTTACCTTGCAGATTCAGCATAAATCACCTTTCCATGTCCTCTCTCTGTGGGCGGTGTGTGGAGGTGCGAGGAGCAGGCACTGAAGCCAAAGAAATCAGTTCTCATTACTCACTGGCCTCCCTTGTTGTCTGAGTTTCTGATGAGGAATAGAAAATTTTTGGTCTTACTCAATGCATGATTTTGCTAAGGCTGTGTCGAGAAGTCATCGAAATAACTAGATGAAAGCAAACAGTCTTGGCCAACCCACTTATTGTTTTATTTTCGCTAGCAGTTTTCTGGATTAGGTGCCTCAGCTGTCTCTATGAGGGCAAAGATCTATGACCCACTGACTCCCTTTGTCTCTTTCCACAGACACCTTACACTCTACCCCACATTTACACCCACCCCACACTCCCATTCTCATCACTACTCCACCCCTTTCCATAGGGGAAGTAGTATTTGACCTCTGCTTTTGTTGGTTCCCCTGCCTATTATTTCAACTGGAATAGGGCAGGGGAAGTCACATCTGGGGACAGGATGGGACCTTTGGGCCACTGCTTTATTTCTCTTGGGCCCATGAATCAATGAAGAGGAGAAAGTCATTGAGAAGCATTTGGGCACCTGCAGATATGATCAGTGGCAACAGCAGTTTGGCGATTCTGCCTGAGGTGTTTGAATACGGCTTAAATTCCCCTCAAAGTAGACAGTTCTTATTCCATTTGTCTTTTTCTCCTAAGTGGCTGCACCTTTCTCAGGGACCTTATGCCAGCTTTCCATTCTGGATATGCCAATTATTTGCCAGATCTTTCTGACTGATCACAAGTACAGTACGGGACCACTCTTTAAGAATCACTAGTCCTTAAAACATTTAAAAATAGTTGACTTTGTTTTTCTACTGAATTGCCTGAATGAAAGTTTTGAGAAAATATTTTGTCATAGTCATAAATTAGTTTTAAGTCTAAATCTTACCCACTGGTGGCTCAAGTGTTTTTAGATACTGGTCATAGTCATCATTGCTTCTTATCTCACTAACGGTACTAAATTACCCCCGCCACTGGTGTCAGAAGCCTCCTAGCAGGTCTCACTGATGCCAATTTCTGCCTCCCCAATTCATAACTCTCTGGCTCTCTGCTTAGATTGTTGCTTTTTGCAGGTTCCTTCCATGCTTAACTGCCCACAACAGGTCTCTACTGCCCTTCATATCAAGTGCAGACTATCTGGCTGGTATTCAAAGATGCTCATAAGCTGTTTCCACCCTCCCTCCCTTCCCTTCTTTGCCATCACTTCCCAACATGTACATTCCATTCTAATCCAAAGAGTCATTTCTTTATCTTGAACTATGTTCCCATGTTCAAGTTTTATTTTTCTGCTGCTTCCTCTTCTTGGATAGTTCTTCTTCCATTCTTTCAACTGGCCCAAGTACTAATAATATTTAAAATGTTACTCAAATCCAGCATCCTTCTTAAAGTCTTGAATGAGTTTTCAGTATCAACCATCGGATCTCTATTGCAGTGGCTGTAATTTCATTGTAAAGATGTTTTATTCATTTAAAGTTAACTCATATTTGTGGGGCAATAAATACTACATAGAATTGTTATTTTTCTTCTTTGAATAATTGTCATCTCCACTATACTCTGAGTGCTCCAAGAGCAAGAAACATGTCTTTTTCATCTTGCATCCCTAGTGTCCAGCCCAGTGCCTGAGACATAGCAGTTGAATTGAAAATGTTACAGTATGAATTGTATTCTGAAGTTCCTTGAGGACAGGGCTATGTCTCAGTCATTTTATATGCCCCAAAGTCAAAGACAGTACCAGGCCCATGGCAGATATTCAACAATCTTTATTGCATTGAGCATTCAGAATAGAAAAGTAGGAATTGTCATGCTTGGTAACATTAAAGAAGGACAGAGATTAAATCTAGAGTGTGAATGGTCAGTTCTAGGAATCAGTAATTATGTCCTGGGTTTTGTCCACAAATTAAGAGGAGAGGCCTGAACAGATAGCAAAGGCCAACATGGCCACCTCCTGGGAGGTACAGAACTGAGCAGAGGAAGGAAGCCCTGGAAGTTATTACCCGAATTCGAGAACATTGGGACAAGATGAGAATTGACAAGATTTAACTGATTCTGAGGAATAATGACTTTAAGAACATTTTCAGTAAATTACAAAATACATATAGAAAAGTGAATAAATCATAAATGCATAATTCAATAAATTTTCACAATATAAACACACGCATACAGTCAGCCAGATAGAGAAAAACATTACCAGCATCCCAAAAGTCCCATTCCAGTGTCTCAGCACCCCTTAAAGTAACTACTCTTCTGACTTCCAATGTATTAGACCAGTTTTGCCTGTTTTTTGAATTTTATATGAAAGAAATGATATTACTTGTATTTTTCTGTATTTGGTTTCTTTTGCTCGGCATTTTTTCATGGGATTTATTCCTTTGTAGTTACATGTAGCAATATAATGTATACTGTTATTGCTGTATAGTATTCCAATATGTAACTATATTGCACTTTATCCATTCTGAATTTTTCAGTGTGGGGCAATTATGAATAATGTTGTTATGCATATTTCCTTACATATCTCTTGGTAAACAAGCTCATTTCTGTTGGGTATGTGGCTAGAAACTGAATAGTTGAATCACAGGGTATGTATTTGTTCAGCCTTAGTAGATAATGCAGAACAGTTTTCTAAAATGGTTTTTCCAATTTATACTCTTTAGAGTAGCATATGAGAGTTTCATTTGCTCTAAATGCTTGCCAACAATTGGTATTGTCTGTCTTTTTCATTTTAGTCATTCTGGTGGGTGTGTGGTTTTAATTCTGCATTTCCCTTTGCCTAGTAAAGTCAAACCCCTTTCATGTGTTTATTGGATCTCTTTTGCAAAGTGCCTGTTCAAGCTTTTGTCCATTTTTTTTTCTCCTGGGTGGTCTTTTATTGATTTGCAAGAACTCTATAAATTCTGGATTTGAGTCCTTTATTAGATGTATTACAAATATCTTTCTGGGATTATTTTTGACAACAACTCACTCGTAGTGGTTCCAAAAATAGAAAGTGTCAGTAGATATTTATTGATTGAAAGAGGAAAAGATTCTACATAAAGAGATATTTCAAAGGAAGACACAGGAGGGTTTAGGACAGTTTGACCATACAGGATGAAGGCAAAAGGAGACTCATGCTAAGATTTTAAGTCAAGAACAAGACTCATTAATTCATTGAAGAGATTTGACTTGTGCAAGGTAAAACATCTAGCTAAGTTGCAGAATCTCTATTTCCTGACTCGTGGTTCACTCATTACTATTTCCATGTCTTTCTCTCAGTTGCTACATATGTTGTTCATGAAGAAGCTCCTTGTAGTTAATAGCTGGTGTTTCCTGAACGCTTACTATATTCCATGCCTGCTGAATGGTAGGAGCTTAGTAAATGGAATAGTCAAAGATATTTACTGTAACAATCATTTGGTCATCTGTGCTTATAATTCATTCAGTCATCCATAGAACTTACTGAGGGTCTATGATGTGCCAGGGACTGTTCCGGGTATACAAACTCTTTGCTTTTGTGGAGCTGATGTTACAGTGAATGAATGAATGAGAAAATGAAGGAATAAAGCACATTGCCCCCTTTCTCTCATGCAGCACCTTGTGTGTAGCTTTTTGTCTCTGCTCCATTTCCTGGGCAGACCTCGCTCAGATATTTCCTCTCATACTCATGCATTCACAAACTGTGCCTTTTAATGGATGATTCCACTTGTCTATGACTACATTATTTATTGTAACTCTTTCCTTTTCCAGCCTGTCAAATAGTCTATGCACTATTTCTATTTGGTTCTTATATTTAATTGCTTGCCCCTGCCAACTCATTTGAGTACTTTTACTTTCTCTAAAGGCATGTTAACTAACTAATATGAATACAGTTTAAATTCTAATTCTCTAATCAGCATTTATGTACATTTAATCTTTTCTTTCAAAAGCAAGTCCATTTCAGATTAATCCTGAGGTTACTACAATATAATTAATGCTATTTTTGTATTTTTTTAGAAGTAAGAAATGTGGAGCCAAGATTCCTTATTTGGCAAAATATTCCAACAGCAACAAAACAGATATTTGTTAAACAGGTTGAAATATTATTATCTTCGTTTATTTGGTTGTAAGAATATGAAAGGAATAACAAGATTGCACCTCTTTTGCAACAGGCTACATTTCAGATCTGCCCTGATTCAGAGCGACATCTTGTCCAACTAACCCAAATTTGGGATAATTTACCCTATTTATAGTACACATGCAGCCGCTGAATTAGAACAGTGACAAAGAAAAGGAAAAAGGGGCATTTTCTCAGGATTGATATTTGTGATATTTTAAAACCAAATCACCCAGGCTTTGGAACTGTGTTTGGACAGACAATACCAATTGTTGGCAAGCATTTATAGAAAATGAAACTCTCATATGCTACTCTAAAGAGTACAAATTGGAAAAACCATTTTAGAAAACAGTTCTGCATTATCCACTAAGACTGAACAAATATATACCCTGTGGTTCATATTTTTAAAAGTTTAACAGGGTCGTGAGGGTGTAGCAAATGTTTAGTTTACTTGGCCCACAATGTTCCCATCAAAGGCTGAGAGGATCTGGTAAGACAACACCAAGAATCACGGAGTTTTGAATATGAATTTTTAAAAGTTATGTTTTAAAATAATATGTAGCGTCTGCAAAATGTGAAAAATGTTAATAACTCTAAAACTGATTAGAGAACTGGGATAAAATATTCACCGATATTAGTAAATTAATTGTGTTTTGAATCTCTGGTGGCAGAAGCAAGTGTGGGTTATGACTCTTTACACCTATTTACTCGCCAAAATAATAAATGAAAAGAGAGACTGGGATGTACCTGTGGTCTTCAAAAAATCTATGACAGTAGAGGGCAGATGTTAGGAAGCTAATATCAAATTCTGTTTGCACTAGAGTAGTGAAGAATTTCCATAAATGTTGCCTTCCTCTATCTTTTAAGTTGATTTCAGTACTTAGCATTAGTAGGGAGAAAAACATGCTCGTTTACATTATGACACATTCCTGTGGATAGAGTCTTCTCTTTAAGATGAGATATAATACTGACTGAGAAGACTCAGTCCCCAGGAAGAAGGGAAAGGTGGCTATGGTTGACAAGTGTCTTTGTGGGCAGATTGTGGCAGGTGAGGTGGGACTGGTAGGAAGTTACTCTGGGTACCACCAGGGTTACCTTAGAGCAGAAGTGGGAAGTAAATGCAGTTTATGTTTGAAAACCCCAGTCTCTAGCTTTTGTTTTTTGCTGTACCTCTAACCTCTTCTCCTCACTGGCTGTGAATCACTTGCTCTTCGTGTTCTCAGGAGATGAGTAATTGAATAATCCCTTTCTCCAAGCCAGCTGGGTACTTATTCACACCAAGGTAAATGTGACTAATAACAGCTTCGCATCTTACTTCTCCCATGAAGTAAGTAGGAATTAAATCTTATACACAAGACCTCAGTGAAAAAATTTTTGAAAGACTAGCAAAAGGGTATAAAAGAAGGTCTTTGGCAGAGACATGGTCGATACTCTTGGATGTAATGAGTTCACATTACAAAGATGTTAATTCTCCTTAAACTGGTCTTTACATTAAATAAAAACCTAGTAAAAATTTCTGCCATATTTTTCCAGGAACTTGACAAATTTATCATAAGCTTTATATAAAATATATATGAAAAGTCCACGAATAGCTAAGTCAGCCCTGAAAAAGTAGAGCAAAAAACGTAAAATTTCCTGTTCAGTTTTAAAGACACTCTTCAGTAATGACTGGCTTAAGAACAAAAAGAAAAATAAATAAACCAATGGAACAAAAAAGAGGACTCAGATATATATTTCTATGTATGGGAAATTCACATATGATAAAAGACATTGTTTAGTGGACTATGTTGGGAAAACTGGCTCACTATGTGGAGAAGAATAAAGTTGGATTTCTTACCTTTCATCACATACAAAAATGCATTAAAGACCTGATTGTGAAAGGTTAAGCCATAGAATAAATAGAAGACGAGATAGAAGAATGTCTTTGTGACCTTGGGATGGAGAGAGGCTTTTCAAACAAACCTTGAAAAGTGCAAATCATATAATTATAAATAATGTCTTAGATGACATCCAAATTAAGTCTTGCTGTTCAACAAAGGCCAAATAAACAAAGTGAATTGACAGATAAAAAATTGGGAGAAGGTCAGGTGTGGTGGCTCATGCCTGTAATCCAGCACTTTGGGAGGCCAAGGTGGGTGGATCTCTTGAGGTCAGGAGTTCGAGACCAGCTTGGCCAATATGATGAAACCCCATCTCTACTAAAAATTAGCCAGGCATGGTGGCGGATGCCTGTAATCCCAGCTACTTGGGAGATTGAGGTGGGAGAGTTGCTTGAACTGAGGAGGTGGAGGTTGCAGTGAGCTGAGATTGCACCACTGCCCTCCAGCTTGGGTGACAGAGCGAGACTCCGTCTCAAAAAAAACAAAAACAAAAACAAAACAAAAGGAGGAGAGTTTGTTATGGCTACAACCAAAAATATACAGGGAACTCTTACAAATCAACAACAGAAAAAGAGCAAAGCCCGCTAGAAAAATGAGTGACTAATGTAAGTAACCAATGTATAAAAGGTGGAAACCCGAGTGGCTACTAGTGTATGAAGAAAAATGTAAATTAAAACAGTAACAAGATAGATACCATTTTAAACCTCCAAAGCCTGGCCAAGTTAAAGCTGGATCATACGAAGTGTGGAGGGGGATTTAAGGAAACAGAGGAAGCTTTATTTGCTGGTGTGAGAGTAGATTAACACTCTTTCTGGAGAGCAATCTGGCAATATTTAGTAAATGCTAATAAACTTATCCTTATGACTTAGTGGACATACTTCAAAAATTATGTCAAAAATACTCTCAAAAAATACCATAAAAATGACTTGGTTAAGGGTGTTTAGAGCTACAATGTCTGTGGTCTGGGCAATTGGAGGCAGTTCAGGTGCCCACTGTTGGAGAATGAATAAGTAAGATGTGGTCGGTACACACTCTGGAATGTCACATTACAAGCAGAGGCTACACAAAGAAACATGGACAGATGGTAAGACATCATGCTCAGTAAAAAGGTAAGAAAGAGAGCCATTCCTGTAAAATAAAAATACCTACACACACTAAACAACACTTCTTTTTGCACAGGGATGCATCGATATTCAGAAATACACATGAAACATTAGAGCCATGACCTATGGCAATGGTAGAGGTGGTGGTAGGTGTTTAGTGGGGAGGGAAGGAGAATGATGAGGGTAGGATCACACCCACGCACGTGTGCACACACACACACAGAAACTTGTATGGAACAATGATCATGTGCACTGGACTGAAGAGTATGATGAGTACAAATCTTTTTACCTGTGATACCAGAAGTCTTCTTTCTTCTAGGGAGATTTGTGTCTTAAAGAATGCATTTCCAGTCATGGATTTTCTAGCATCAGTCAATGAGTTGGGAAACTATTTTATGTATGTGATCAATGAATATTTATTTTGCCACTATATGCCAGGCACTGTTCCATGTGCTAGGCACAGTATAGTGAATGAGACAGCCAAAGCCTACTTCTGGTTGAGGATTCTGATTAGTCCTTCTTGGCATTAGATCAGGTAAATTGTTACATATTCCAAATCAACCATGGGTATGGTCTGTCTGGGACCTGGGAGGTGGGCTTTGGGGTTGCTCTTCATCTGCGGTGGCTTTGGGAGAGACTTGAAAATTCACAAGGAAACAACTGCAGAAAAGGCCCATTATAATCTGAAAGTATTTAGCATACATATGTCTCTGGTTGCTGTTTTCACAGGATCACCTTTTTGTTATACCCACAATCTCTTCCATTTTTTTTTTTGAGACAGAATCTTGCTCTATCACCCAGACTATAGCACAGTGCGGTGATGTTGTCTCACTGCAACCTCAGCCTCCTGGGTTCAAGCGATTCTCCCACCTTAGCCTCCCGAGTAGCTGGGACTATAGGTGCACCACCACCCCCGGCTAATTTTTGTATTTTTAGTAGAGACAGGGTTTCACCATGTTGGCCAGACTAGTCTCAAACTCCTGACCTCAGGTGATCTGCCCACCTCAGCCTCCCAAAGTGCTGGGATTATAGGCGTGAGCCACTGCGCCCAGCCTCACAATCTCTTCTAATAGCAAATATTTCTGAGACTCCTAGTATGACTGTTCAGAAACCCCCATACAACACCAGAGCAGATTTTCCCTTTAGTGAGTTTTAGTTAAACTCATTGAAACTTAAGATCTAGGCTCCATTAACACTATCTTCTTGATGCTTGGTCCATCAGGGGCATACAATGAATAAGAGACACACTGCTGCTCTTAAAGAGGGCTTTGCAATTTTCTGACATTCTCTTTCTGTTTCACAGTGATTTATTTTCTATTCAGGAACAATAAGCTGGTAAGCAGGACTGGGTCAAACATCAACTTTAGAAATACCGTAAAGGCTGTCAATATGCTTTTATTGAGTCCTTCCTATGTGTGTAGCACTGTTCTAAGTGTTGGAGTCACAAAGACGAAAGAGACAGAGACTCTTCCCTCGAAAGCATGTAATTCAACGATGTCAAAACTTATTTTCCCGTGGAAAGAAAATTATGTATGCTGGTCAGTTTCCCAGGCAAACCCACAAAAGCCTATTTAATCGATGAATAGCTTAAATCTAGTGCTAATAGAATTATACGGAGTTCTGGGCAAAAATGGCCATATATAATAGGAAACTGAATAAGGAAGAGTTTCATCATCTTTTCTTGGGCCCATGGTCAACCCCAAGGAAACATTTGGAACACACCTATTTTTTTTCAATTCAGAAAAAAAATCTTATTTTTATTTGACAAATAAAAATTATATATACAGTATTTATGTTACACAATATGATGTTTTAAAAATTACTTATTTTTTAAATTGATGCATTATAATTGTACATATCTATGGAGTATAATTTGATGTTTTGATATAAGTGTATGCTGTATGATACAATTAGGTTAGTTAGTGTATCCATCACCTCATGCATTTATCATTACTTTGTGGTGAGAATCTTCAAAAGCCTCTCTTCTAGCTATTTTGTAAAATACAATATTTTCCTGTTAAATACAGTCATTCTACTGTGTAATAGAACACCGAAATTATTCCTTCTAATTGTATCGTTGTACCCGTTGACCAACCTCTCCCCATCCTCCTTTCCCCACTTACTCCCCCAGTCTCTGGTAAACCACTGTTATATTCTCTGCTTCTATATCAACTTTATTATTATCATTATTATTTTTTAGATTCCACATATCAGTGAGATCATGCAGTATTTGTTTTTCCGCATCTGATTTATTTCACTTAACATGGTGTCCTTCAGGTTCATTCACGTTATTGCAAATGACAGGATTACATTTCTTTTATGGCTGAATAGTATTCCATTGTGTATATATACCACATTTTCTTTATCCATTCATCCATCCATCTGTGGATACTTAGGTTGATTTCATATATGTTTTGATATACGCATGCATTGTGGAATGGCTAAATTGAGTGAATTAACATATATGCATTACCTCACATACTTGAAATTTTTTTTTGTAATGAGAACATTTACAATCTATGCTCTTTGTGATTTTTAAGCATACGATATATTGTTCTTAACTATCATCACCATGATGGACAATAGAGCTCTTCAACTTATTCCTCTTCTTTAACTGAAATGTTGTATCCTTTGGGTAACATCTCCCCATCTCGCTGCCCCTTGCCCACCCAGCCCCTGGCAACCACCATTCTACTCTTTCCTTCTATGAGTTCAAGTGTTTTAGATTCCACATGCAAGTGTGATCATGTGGTGTTTTTTACTCTCACTAATCTTCATTTTTGCTTCTTTCTCCTCTGGCCACCTTCACAAATGCTCAGTGTCCTCATGTGGTTCCGACCCTTTGCAGTGGCACCTTGCTTAGGTCTGTGCCATCTCAAAAAGTGGTCTAGGTTTTACAATTATTTACATCCCTACTTCCAGTTCTTCAACACTCCTGATCTTAACTAGTTGTGAGGAGAAAAATCTGATTATACAAATTTGCACTAATTCACATTCCTTCCCTCAGCAATAGGTATTTGCATTTTGATACTTGCATTTGCTTCCTTGCTCTGCGGGAGAATTTCCAGTCTAGTTTTAGGTGTATTTTTAAATAATTTGAAGGTAACGCGGAACCTCTATATTCCTATATTCCCTTCTTCAGACATCCATGTGTGTGTGTGTATATATGTATATATATAAAATGTTGCATATATATGTATATATATAGTATACACACATATATAATATATATACACACACATATATAGTTGTTATAGGATTATTTGGAAATATTATGTTGAGACTTGTGTGAAGTGTAGAATTAGGTAAAATTTTAAGATGAACTATATCCATGGTATTCTTTTATTTTAAAAAAAGTTTACATGTTAAGAAAAAAGGAGATCAGATTTTCAGCATTAGTATTTACAAACTTAAGTTGATATTGATTATAATTCAATTAATACAATTTTAAGATATATTTACTTCTGCCTTAATTGTTATGATCACTTAAAAATAGTTCCAAAAAGGGAAGAAAACAATAATTAGATTAGCCAAGACAGTTATTTTTGAAACATAAGTCTGGTTTAGAATTCAGCATGTTTAAAAATGAGATAAAATTATTTTAATAATGGAATGATCTGTTAGCTGTCATTACCATTTACTTTAAAGCAGAGGATATAGGACATGGGTCCTTTTTTTCTGATCACCTCCAATGAGATAAGAATCTATAAAGCTGGTAGGAAAATGAGTCCGTGACCAAAATGCTTACTCAGCCACTATAGGAGATCAAAACATTTTATACTAAATCTGAACTCTACTAAGACAAAACAATTGTGTTCTTTGAAAAATATGTAGGGTTTAGAAAATTTCTGGGATTTGTCTGTAAAATACCCTCCGGGCTCTAATAGTGACGTTTTAGGGAAACACTTGCATCTCAAGGTGGAAAGGATAGAGGTGGTGTTTTGTGGGCTCCTGTGGTGGTTAGGTCGTTCTCAGAAGACAGTACTGGAAATTAGATAATTGCTGATGTCATATTTTTCACAATTAAAAAAAAGTCAGTATCCTGGGGGCTATAAAAGCAGCAGCTTCTACCTTCCCCGTCACAAGCAGAATCTTCAGAACAGGTAAGCGTTTCGGCAAACTTGGTACAATTGGTTAGTTTGATGAAATACTTCTTGACTAATTTTGTTCCTTCACGTTGTCTTCGACCAGGTTCTCCTTCCCCAGTCACCAGTTGCTCGAGTTAGAATTGTCTGCAATGGCCGCCCTGCAGAAATCTGTGAGCTCTTTCCTTATGGGGACCCTGGCCACCAGCTGCCTCCTTCTCTTGGCCCTCTTGGTACAGGGAGGAGCAGCTGCGCCCATCAGCTCCCACTGCAGGCTTGACAAGTCCAACTTCCAGCAGCCCTATATCACCAACCGCACCTTCATGCTGGCTAAGGAGGTATACATCTCAATCCTGCTCTTTCTCGTTGGATCTACTTGGAATCCAAATAGTTCTTAAACTTTTCTTCAGAGCATCTCTAAGAGCTTTAGGAACCCACTGTTTATCCCTGAGGGTAGATAAATTTTCTGTTTTTTCAGAGACTCTTTGGGAATCTGGCTTTTTTTTTTTTCTTGAACTTCTTCCTTCCATTTTGGCCTTTATGATACATATGATGAATTTTTCCCAAAGAGCGGCCATTCAGTAATCCATCTGATGATTTTTTTTTTCCTTTATGCCTCTGTGCATTGTTCTAAACTCATGCACACATCTGAATTCTGCTTTTAGTCTTTATGATGTTGCTCTGGGGAGACGGGATGGGGCACATGTCTATGTATAAATTTTTTTTCTATTTGCTCAATGTCCAGACCCTTAGTCTTTTCTTCTCTTCCAGGCTAGCTTGGCTGATAACAACACAGACGTTCGTCTCATTGGGGAGAAACTGTTCCACGGAGTCAGTGTAAGCTACAGTTGTGACGAACAGGGCCGTGTGCCGTCCATGGGTACTTGGGGTGGTGGTGATGATGGTTTAGGTCTTATCCCTTATGACCCTTTCTGTTTCCCTTCCACCTGCAGATGAGTGAGCGCTGCTATCTGATGAAGCAGGTGCTGAACTTCACCCTTGAAGAAGTGCTGTTCCCTCAATCTGATAGGTTCCAGCCTTATATGCAGGAGGTGGTGCCCTTCCTGGCCAGGCTCAGCAACAGGCTAAGCACATGTGTAAGTTCAGCTCTCAGCCTATGCCCACCTACCCCTCCTTCCCTCCTTCCACAGAGACCCCCTTACCCCAACTCTCTCTCCTTCCCCCTACCCCTAAGCTAGCAGGAAGAAGTGTCTTGGCAGCAGTGTTATCAGGAGTCATTTGGGATCATAGAGTATTTGCTTTTGCTTTGACTGAGTCACATCTTGAGTTTATAGTGGTGAATGGGGTCTGGAACTTAAGTGTACAGAAGCCGCATTGGTTTGTCTTCGGAAAAAAGGCAACTCAGGTTGCGTAAGATGAGAAAGGTGTTGGGAAAAACATCTAGATGTGGAAATGGATCCATTGAGTCTAAGTTGTTGAGGGGAGGGGATGGCATGGAGAGAAATTAGAAGAGAAAGTGGGAAATGGGAAGGCTTAAAGTCGGTGGTGGGTCGGCAGACTGTTGCCCTGTTGATGTCATGGGAAGCCACAAAATCGGAGGCGTGTGAACTTGATGCCGCTGAACATTTGAAACTATGAAAAAAAGTTTGAGTGGAGTGGGCCCAGTAAAAGGCCCTAGGACTTACTGAAGAGGGCTTAATTTTCACATGAGATGTTTTATGTACATTTCTTGTTCTAAGCATGCAATTTTCTGGAGATACGATTGAGGTTTTATTCCTTACAGAATTTGCATAAACTACTCCGCTCTTTCCACAAATGCAAACCTCAGTAGGATTTCCCAAAGATGAAGAGAGGTCTCTTGTAAGGGAAGTGACTGGATTCTGGCGTCCAAGGGAATTCAAGAGCTCAGGAAATCTAGGTCACTGTTGAAATCTAGGTCATTGTGGGCAAAATTACTAAGAGCTTTAATTCCAGGTGAATTGTACTGTACCTCCATGGGTGTGGAGGTTCATAAAGTTTCAGCACAACATTAAGATAGTTATGCTTGTTATTGTTTTATAGCATATTGAAGGTGATGACCTGCATATCCAGAGGAATGTGCAAAAGCTGAAGGACACAGTGAAAAAGGTAGGACTGATAACTGTCAATGCTAAGTCATGCAATAGGAGAGACAAATGTTGTTTTTCTTTCCTTTCTTTCTTCCCATCACTTTGTGATTTTTCACTTGATTCTCCTACCACCAGGGCGATTACTTTGGTGTCTGTGTATGTAGATATATCTATATATCTAGATGTCAGTTTCCAAATCTTGCAAATTGTAGAATTCTAGAACTGGTTGGGATCTTAGCTTGTCTAGTCACATAACCTCAGATTCTGGGGATGGTCAGTGGCAGAGATAGGGCTAGAATGCAGGTCTCCTGAATCCCAAGCCAGCACTTTTCCCGGTGGTGATACAGATTAGTTTTGGTACCATTAATTCTTAGGGAAATTTCAGATTCCTATTGACTCATGTAATCTGAAGAAGTACTTGTTTAAAAACAGAAAAATGCCTATGGGCAAATTTATTTGAAGTCATTTTTGAAGTCATTAATGCATTGCTTTGAAACTTGGAAGAATAAACTCAGAACAATGAGAAAAGAGCTGGACTTGCATATAGGGCTAATTTCTGGAGTAATAAACACTTATTTTGAATTATCATAATATCTATCAGATATTGATTATAGTTTAAAAGCAAGAGCAGACAACCCCGATCTCTTTTATACAGGTTCAAATAGAGTAAAAATATTAGTAAGAGATTTATTAAAGTTAAATGGAAGTCTGAATTGGTAAGCTTTTTTTTCTTCCTCTCTCCCATCAAGACCTTCCATTCTAGTTTCTTCCTTCACTCCCTCAACAAATCCCTAGGGAGCATTTATCCATGGTGGGCTGGTGTACATTTCTATAGTGAATGATACCATCATGTGGCCTATTTGGTGAAAAGAACAACAATGGAAGGCTTAGACTAACAATAGTGACTCACCCCAAAACCGGAGGAATGATTAGGAGCAGTGAAAGTGACGCTCTTGCAAGCAGGTACAACTAAATACTCAGAAACATGAAGGCTCCAGTTGATGGAATTTTCAGTAACAAGCTTAACCTTAATTCCCCCTTTTTCCCTCTTGACTTTTTAAAAAAGCGTTTCTTCCTGAGCATCATTTAATGAGTGTGACTGTTTCTTCCTTTGATAATTGAAGGCTTTGTAGTTTTAAATTGTGAAGCCCAGTTCTCTTGTTATAGAACTATTATCTAGACATGGAGGGCTGAATGTTAGCATGCCACAGACAAGGCATGCTTTACACATCTTGCTTAAAAAATTACTGATTTCATCTTGCTTGTTGTCTTTAGAAAAGTGAAGTGTGAGAGAGGAGAATCTCATGGTGATCTGTGTGATTTTCAAGACCTTTAATCCATTTTGAAAGAATCAATTTCATATTTGCAATGGGTTGCCATGTGGAAGAGTGATTATGCTTTTTTGCTGGTAGCTTCAGAAAGCACAGGAGGGAGAGCAATGTTGTTCAGAGAAAGATCAACAGGAGGAGAAACTGTCAGAGCTGTCTGAAATAGGGTGGTTTTGGGAGGCATTAATTCCCTCTCGTTGGGGGTAAAAGCAGAACGCAGGTTGGTAGTAAAATGCATGACAGACAGTAGGGGACGATAAACTTTAAAATTCTTTATAGTCTTGGAGTCTTTGAGATAGAAAAGAATATCTTTTTGGCCTTATGTCAAAAGAAGTATGGAAAGGTGAAAGGGCGGAAGAAAGCAGGAAAAGGAAGAACCATGTATTATACAGAGGACAATGGTGACAAGGTTTTTCTTGAAATAATGCAAATATGATAGATTAGAGGAATTTCAGTAGGGAATGCTTTTCACTTGAATTTGGGTTTCCTCTTCGATTAAGTTTGGGATCCTCATCTGCATTTGACTTGGAGAGAGAAAGAATGAATGTTAGGACCTATATCTGGTTTTCTATTAACTAAAGCAAGTGGAAAAGACTTATTTGGTATTTTTCCCACAAAAGTGAAAACTTTTCTTTTACTGTTTGTCAAAAAGGTGGAAATAGAAAAAGCCTTAATGTATTGGTGAATACATGGTTCAAAGTCATTTGAGTAGAGATGTTTTAAATCAGGAGTGTCCAATCATTTGGCTTCCCTGGACCACCTTGAAAGAATTGTCTTGGTACACACATAAAATACAAGAACAATAGCTGATGAGCTAAAAAAGTCCATGCATAAATCTCATACTGTTTTAAGAAAGTTTATGAATTTCTGTTAGGGTGCATTCAAAGCTGTCCTGGGCCATGTGCGGCCTGTGGGCTGCAGGTTGGACAAGCTCCTTATAAGTAATCTGTCATAGATAGTTTTGGAGCTGCAAAACAGGCCAAGGCATAATGGGTGGCACTCGGGATCCCCCAGATCCCAGCCTCACTTCAGTCTCCTTGCTCTGGTTAAGAAGGGGTGGTCAACTCTCTGCCCAGCTTTTAAACAGCTTCATTAGTGTGAGGTGCACCTGAAATTGATGCCTGCTGGTGGCCTCTCAGTCCAGAGAGCCGTCATTTTAAGCTCTTTGGCAAATCATACAATACTAAAGGGATATTACTATGAATGTTTTACAAATGCTTAAAACTCGGTTTCTGTCTCCATCAACCTAATCTTGCAATTTCTAATTTGTTCACTTTAGAAAACATGGCATAAATGCTCAAATACTTTTGCATTCTTATTTTCACAGCTTGGAGAGAGTGGAGAGATCAAAGCAATTGGAGAACTGGATTTGCTGTTTATGTCTCTGAGAAATGCCTGCATTTGACCAGAGCAAAGCTGAAAAATGAATAACTAACCCCCTTTCCCTGCTAGAAATAACAATTAGATGCCCCAAAGCGATTTTTTTTAACCAAAAGGAAGATGGGAAGCCAAACTCCATCATGATGGGTGGATTCCAAATGAACCCCTGCGTTAGTTACAAAGGAAACCAATGCCACTTTTGTTTATAAGACCAGAAGGTAGACTTTCTAAGCATAGATATTTATTGATAACATTTCATTGTAACTGGTGTTCTATACACAGAAAACAATTTATTTTTTAAATAATTGTCTTTTTCCATAAAAAAGATTACTTTCCATTCCTTTAGGGGAAAAAACCCCTAAATAGCTTCATGTTTCCATAATCAGTACTTTATATTTATAAATGTATTTATTATTATTATAAGACTGCATTTTATTTATATCATTTTATTAATATGGATTTATTTATAGAAACATCATTCGATATTGCTACTTGAGTGTAAGGCTAATATTGATATTTATGACAATAATTATAGAGCTATAACATGTTTATTTGACCTCAATAAACACTTGGATATCCTAAGTCTTGTCGTTTTGTGATTTTTCTCCTTTAATGTCATCATCATCATCATCATTGTCATGTTACCATTCCCATAACTTTATTCTTGACTCTAAGAAAATGAGGTAGCTATTAGTATTATTCTAATTTTACAAATGAGAAAGCTGCATTAGAAACATGTTAAGAAACATTTTATAACTATAAATAGTTGACCCTTATTGAGCCAGGTCTATCTGATTTCAAGGCTCTCTGCTATAGTGCCTATACTGATTTATTATGTTGACTCAGCATGTACCTTTGAAAAGAAAAAAGTTGAGAAATTGAAAATAACTTATCATTAGTCATTTATGGATAAAAGAAAGGAATGATGTTGCTGGAGAGAAGTACATGTAGCCTCTATTGCTATAGATAAACTGTTTTAGTTCTAGTTCAGGCCTACTGAAAGGTGCACTCTCCAGTATCCCTGAAAGTAAGACACTAAAGGAAAAGGAAAGCTGTGTTTTGGGGAGTCATACCTACTAGTAAGTTTGGCACTGATAGGGAAGTCTCATAGGTGGAAGATGGGCAAGATATTATGAAACACACATAGAAAGGAAAAGGGGTTCATCTTCAAAATGTGTACAATGCTACAGAGAAGAGAGAGAAAGAGGTAGAGATAAAGGTTGGATTTGTTCTACCAAGAAGAATGGACAAAGGATGCCAGCAATGAAGAGCCATTCCTGGGGGAAGGGATTTGAAAGATTGTGTAGGTCTTTTCATATGAGGTCAAAGTCAATGATCAGAAGTCAGTCATGAACTGCTAAGGTATTTTCTTCTCCAAAAAATCAGGACCAACTTTGCAGGTCACTTGTCAGTTGTTGGCCAAGTTCCTGCAGGATTAGGTCCAGCCTGGTGGTGAGAGGGGAGCACATAGAAAAAATTCCCAGCAAGCCTTTGTCTTTTCCTGGCAGTCAGCCCCTCTTTTGCTACCTTGCCCGTTGCACTCTTGCAACATATTTTCATACTTTCTCTAGTAAATCTGCCTTTCTTTACCCACAACTGTCTTGGTAAATTCTTTTACCACCTGTGCCACCAGCCTCAGATAGTTGTCACTCACCCACAACATTTTGGTGGCCCATATGGGGAGCTCTCTCTCCTTATGGGGAACTCTCTCTGCATGGGGGCTGTCTCTCCTCATAGGGAACTCTCTTGCCTCTCTCTCTTTCCCAACTTGGAACCCTCAGTGGATAGCATCTAAGCACGGAGACAATTGTAGGTCTCTGGCCAGAGCTACACTCTGGTGGGCTGAAAGGTGTCCCCGTGGAAGCATCTGACTTCCATGCCCATTCAGGTGAGGCACCTAAGTTTATTTTCTCTTTTCAGTCTTTCAGCAGCCAGCTTCTAGTATCTCTCTGGCAATTGATGGTAACTGGCCAGGGCTGTTCTCCGGTGCTGCCTAAAGGTCAGAGGGTGAACAGAGTTATCTGCCTCTCCCATTAGGCAGGAAGGCTTTTTCCTCTCTTCTCTGGTCAGAAGTCCCTAATCCCTAAGTGTGGCATGACTGGTAGCGGAGGCTCATTCAGAGCGAATTCACACATGTTTTGGGTGCCTCAGACCCTCTCTTTCTCATTCTGAATTCCCCCATGGACTCAGCCAGCCATTCTGTTCTGATGTTGCTGAATAAGGTGAACTCAGACAGCCTCAGAACAGTGAGTCTTCCCTTCCCTGCCCCTTCCCTGGGCTGGCGCCAGGTGGAGTTCTTCCTTTACCTTTTTCCTCGTATCTAGGCTGATCATCTAGCGTTAAGTGAGTACCTGGACTAATCATCCAAGTTAAGGTCCCCAAGTGGCTGAGAGGTCTTTACTAATAGGTAGGATGCCCCATTAGAAAGTGCACCCAAGTCCCCTTGGTGGATGCAAGTGGACCGCTTTTCATCTCGGTGGGATGCCCCAAGAGAAAATGCAGTTCAGTGTGAGGTTCCGTGATGTAGTGGTGAGTACTGGGAACTCTAAAAATGCAGTTCATGAGGCTCTGAGTGGTGTGTTTTCCAGTCCCGCCATGGGACAACCCCATCTATTCTTTCAGACTCACCTCTAGGCTGCATTCTAAAGCATTGGAACAAACTTAACCCTCAGACTCTCAAAAAGAAGCTTCTAATTTTCTTGTGTAATACAGCATGGCTCCTATGCAGGCAATCCTCAAATTAGCCTCCTTAGTCTTTATAACCAAAAGCAGAATAAAGAAAACAAAGCTAAGAAGAAAGAAAAAGACAGAGACAAGAGGCAGGCTTAACTGTTGGCTGCTTTACAAGTCCCCAACCCCCTCCAAGTTGCCCTAAGCACTCTCCTCCAGATAACCACCACTGGAGCAGAAGAGCAGGCAAGAAGAAAGGCAAACTGATCCAATGAAATAAAAGGAAAAAAGCCCCATATGGCTTGCCCCCTCTGCTGCAAGCTCCACCACTGGAAACGGGATTGCCCTGAGAGCCGAAGGGCCCCTGGAACAAAATCCCAACTCCTAATGGCCTTAAGCTGAAGGGGCTCTCGGCTCTGGCTGGAACAGGTCACCTTAGCTGGTGACGGGTGGAAGTGGGAGAAATTCGTCTCACACTGTGAAGTCTGGGGTGCTAAGGCTTTCCCTGATGGGAGATAAATGAAAGTGGTAGAGGTGCTGGCCCTGCTCCACAGGCTGTGCAGTGGCTGGAAGGCTCACAAGCCCTCCCATAAAACTTAACCTTTTCCTCTCCATTCTTTGCTTTTCTTTTTCTCTTTTTCTGTTCATTCCAGGGGTCCAGCCTTAAAAGGGAAAGACAGTTTCTAATGTCCTAACCCCTGATTTTGTCATTCTCTTTAAATCTCCAGCTGGTTACATATTATGGCCTGTTTCTGTGCACATTTTAAACTAATGGGCAAATTACAACGAGAAAACTTCAGAGCTCAAATGGTCAATCTGCACTACAGAGTTAAGTAGAGTCTCCTAAAGCTCTCTGTCTTCCCCCTCTTTTTTCTGCCTGCTTTAAATCTGCTGTTACTAAGCTGCCAGTGCTGAGATAAGACTCATTATTTATGGTCTAACTAGAATATAAACATTGAAAACTCATTTAAAGAAAAAAGGTAAAAGAGGTTTTGTTAAATCAAGCAGCCTAGAATTTTTAACCTCCTTAAAAGTTAATGAAAATAAATCCAACACCTCTTTTAAATACTACTCTTAAAGCGGCTCTTTTTATTCAATTTTACTGCAAGCTCTCAGTAATTATCCATCTGCCTCCCTTGAGCAGCTTCATGCTCTTAATATTAATGCTTTTATAAGGGAAATAGTACAAAATTGCTATTTGCAGGGAGACTTCCAAAACTACTACCCAGATGAAATTTCTTTCTTTCTTTTTTCTTTTTCTTTTTTGAGACGGAGTCTTGCTCTGTCACCCAGCCTGGAGTACAGTGGCACAATCTTGGCTCACTGCAACCTCCACCTCCCGGGTTCAAGTGATTCTCCCACCTCAGCCTCCTGAGTAGCTGGGACTACAGTCGCCTGCCACCATGCCCGGCTAATTTTTATATTTTTAATAGAAACAAGATTTCACCATGTTGGCCAGGCTGGTCTTGAACTCCTGGCCTCAAGTGATCAGCCCGCCTCAGCCTCCCAAAGTGCTGGGTTTACAGGTGTCAGGGCCGAAATTTCTTTATACTTGTCCTAGTAATGTTATTTACCCCTAAACCACAACATTGATGTGCTAAGATACTAGGTATTTGTTTAACTGTTTTTCTCATACTCTTTGCAGCCCTTCTTCTTTTCTAAGTTTACTATATATTGTCATTTTCCTTAAATATGGCTCTGTTTTGTTGGTGTCTATCATGGCTAACTATTGCCTCAATGGCTGCAACCAGGCACCTGCTCTACCCAGTAATATCTCAGGTTACTAACATACCACATCGTACTAACTGCTGGATATGCCCACATAGGCAGGCAGTCGAGAATAACATTACATTCCTAGCCATCCCACTCTCTAGAGAAGAAATGGCTACCATGCAAGCCCAATACTTGATACTCTGGATTTGACTACACTATGTACACGTACACCAAAAACACAGGTATAGGGGGGGCACCTAGGCCAATTGATCTCTCATGGCAATCATCCACTGTAACCCAGTGAATAGGGAAGGCACCAGAAATGGCCTGTAAAGTGAGACTTCAGAAACTCAGAAGGGCCTGGCCCTTTCCTAGGGGCTTTAACACAAGCCCATTGTAATTACACCTTCAACTATAAAGAGACACACCAGGAATGGGAGCTGTATGATGACTGATGAGTTCACCGAGGACCTCCACAGGTTTTCTCTATGGTGGGAAAACAACAAAGTTAATGCCAGCAAAATTTAAAATGATTCCTTTATGCCTGTAAATAGTTTAGCAACTGGGATGGAATATATAGGAATAGGGGTTGAAACTGGACAACTTCTTAACCTCACTAATACAGCTTTTCCTCGATTTTCCTTTAACCAATTAATATTTAGAACTCTTATCTGTCAGGCCCCATATTTACACAACACAACAAGTGAAACTTTGACTCCCTTATGTGTGGATAACTACTTTTTCGGTCATTGCCCGTTCACATTTAATCCCCGGGGACCATGAAATCCCCTTATTTATGCAAATTATACTGGAATCCAAACTGATCACGCCTATGCCTGGTTACAAAGTCCCTCCTTGGGAGTTTCATTAAAAGGAATTGGGTTCTTCTTTTTATGGGTATCCATCATGTTTCTAGCCTTGCCTATTAAGTGGATGGGCACCTGTACTACAGCTGCAGCCATACCTGGAGCGCATATATATAACTCCTCGAACTTCATAACCTCTGGCCAAGTTCCAAATTTGGTGTTCTTCCTAAGTGGAGCCCTCTAAAGATCATCAGAAGAAAGAAAACAAAAGTGGAACTTAACCTCCCACCATTTGGCATCCTTGCCACTGATAATCCCATTATGGAGAGAAATGGTCTAGAATATTCTATAGTCAGTGGACTCTTGGTTTGCAGGTATACCCATGCTCAAGCACAGCATTTGTAATCTCACTGATATGGTTTGGCTATGTCCCCACCAAAATCTCATCTTGAATTCCCACATGTTGTGGGAGGGACCCAGTGGGAGGTAATTGAATCATGGGTGCTGTTCTCTTGATAGTAGAATAAGTCTCACAAGATCTGATGGTTTTAAAAAGGGGAGTTTCCCTGCAAAAGCTCTCTTCTCTTGTCTGCTGCCATGTGAGGTGTGCCTTTCACTTTCTGCCATGGTTATAAGGCCTCCACAGCCACATGGAACTGTGAGTCCAATAAACCTCTTTCTTTTGTTAATTGCCCAGTCTGAGGTATCTCTTTATCAGAAGCAGGAAAACAGACTAATACACTCACCATCTTAGTCCAGCAATCTTGGAAACCTAAAGTCACAGCCATTGAGGCCCAGAAACAGGCCCTAATTTCATTGTCAGGGGTTGTCCTGCAGAATCAACATGCTTTAGATGTGCTTACCACCAAGGCAGGAGGCACTTGTGTGCTGTTAAGTGAAACCTGCTGCTTTTACATCAATACTTCAGGTCAAATAGAAGAAAGTTTAAAAAAGGTAAAAGAGAATATCAAGGTATCAGAGGGCCTTCAAAAAAGAGTTCGTCAAGATTTTTTTTTTGGCACAACTATTCAAAATTTCTCCAGCTGGGTTTGGCCATGGGTTGCCCAACTTCTCCCCCCTATAATAATGTTCATATTAGTTTGTTTACTTGCACCACATATTTTTACTGCAATATCTCATGTTGCGTCTTCTAGAATACAATAATCTCAAACCAAAATGTTACTGCAGCGAGGGATATCAGCTTCTAAAAGAACTCCATGACTCTCCTTTGGATGCAGCAGAACAAAATTTTAGGCTGCAAATGCGGTTCCCCCATAGTCTCACAGCAACCCGGCTCAATTTAAGTCCTAACTTAGGGATTTAGACCCATGGAACCTCCTAACTGAGCAGCAATCCTAGGTAGGGCCAACTCTTCACTTCTGGTCAGCAGGAAGCAGTTGGAAGATGAGACCTTCACTCACATGCCAAAGATTTGTCATTCTTGCTCTGTTAGGGGGGGAATGTGAAGTCCTAATTAAGGAAAAGGAGTTAGGCTGGTGGGACTGAGGGAAAGCAAAAAAAGCAAGTAGATAAGCTATAAAGTCTGCTTTTCTTCATGGTCCAGGACATATAGCCCTCCTGTGCCCAGCTTACCACCAGACACCGGCGAGTTAGCTCCCTGCAGCCTTGGCGTTATCAGTACTGCAGGCAGCACTCTTCGGCCCACGTTCCAGTCTACAAAATCCCCAGCAAGCCTTTGTTTCCCGGCAGTTAGCCCGTCTTTTACTAACTTGCCCATTGCACTCTTGCAACATATTATCATACTTTCTCTAATAAATCTGCCTTTCTTTACCTACAACTGTCTTGGTAAGTTCTTTTACCACCTGTACCATGGGCCTCAGATAGTTGCTGCTCACCCATGGCAGGTTCCAAATGCTGAGAGGCACTGATGTTCCCTTTCAGGGATGATAGAATTATAATATTTTTTTTTCTGTGATTAGCTGAGGTTAAGGAGTCTTTCCTTTTCCAAATGAGTCTCCATGTAATGACTAGAGCAAAAGTTGATATCATATTTTTTTTGGCCAGTCTTCTGGAAACTGAGCTATAAGTGGAAGAATATTTACCCCTAAAATTGGAAGGTAAGAAACTGAGAGACTTTATATTCTGATATATTTCAGAAGTAGCTAGAGTCAACCTTGGTTTTTCCTTCCCTAACCCTGCACATTGAATGTGTCAGAAGTCCTGTTTGCTCTAACTCCAAAGTAACGGCTGAATCTGTTCACTTCTCATTCTGGCTAAAGCCCATCCATGCCACTATCATCTGTCCTCTAAATTACCATAGTATTGAAGTTTCTAAAGTTCCTCCTACTGTCTGTTTTTAACTCAGGAGCCAAAGTAAACTTACAAATTAAAAACAGTAGATTGGGCACATCCTGGCTTCCCCTAAGGGCTTCCCTTCACAGTGAGAATGAAACTGAAAGTTTATATCATCACCCCACCTCTGCAGTCTCATCTGCTATCACCCTTCCCTTGAGCTCTCTGCTGCAGTCACAAGGCCTACCGGCTGGTCCTCACATGCACCAGTCTAGCTCCTGACAAGGAGTCTTTGCACTGGCTGTTTTCCTAAGCCCAGAACAATCTTCCCACTAATATTTCATGATAATTCCCTCCCTTCATTCAGGTCCTGCTCAAATGTTACTGCCTCAGAAAGATCTATGCTGGCCACCCTATCAAACACAACCTCTTCACCACCCTCCACACCCTCCCCTCCCCTCCCATCACCCCACTTCATTTTTCTTTGTTGTACTTAGCACATATGAAATTAGTTATTTATTTACTTTGGCCACTTATTTAATTTTCAGTATGTACTTATTGGGTGTTAACCTGATGCCATGGGGTGTGAAGGTAAACATCATACGTACAGAGCCCGTGTCCTCATAGAACTTGCATTCTAATGTAAATATAACAGAGGACATATAGTATAATAACAAGCATGGATATCTGCTATGAAGAAAAACAAAGTAGGGCGTGGGGGTAGAACTTAATGGGGGTTAATTTAGGTAAGGAGATCAGGGAAGGCCTCTTGGAGGGCAGATATCTGAATGAGGTGGGGACATGGGCCATGTGAATATCTGGGGATATCACCTTGAGATGAGGCAAGTTTGGCGTATTCAAGAAGTAGCAAGAAGGTTGGGACTGGAGTAGCCTGGGTAAAGGGCAAAGCTTAAGATGAGCCCAACATTTGACTAGGACCAGGTATGTGTGTCTTTGCAAGCTAGAGCAGGACTTTGGATTTTGTTCTAAGGCTGAGGAAAAGCCACCAGAGGGTTTCAAGCATGAGGAAGGCTTGGTATGACTCATGTTTTGTAAAGATCACTCTGGTTGATAATGCAGAGTAAATCTAGGAGGAGTAAGGATAGAAGCAAGGCCAGGACGAGAGTCTAGGAAAGAAGCAATGATTGCATTGGAGTGGAAGGGAGCAGAGCCAGAGAAATCTGGCTTGTGACTCTTACTGTGACACTCAGCATGGGTTGCCTGGGAAATAGGAGTTATGTATGAATCACATTCACAAACAGGAAAAGAAATTCTTTAGTGTTTCTTCTGGTTCTTCATTTATACTATATTATTCACTAGCAGAAAGTGCTCCGTATAGGAATTGAAGGAAGACAGGTGATTTTTTCTGAAAGGAAGTTTTTAAGATTTGAGTGAAGACACTTAGATGAGGAGAATGAAGTAATACCAAGGGTTGAAGGCTGAAGTCCTCTTGTCTCGGAGGCAAACACAGCCTCAGTGAATTTATCTTCTGCCTGAACCGAGGAGATTCACTGGATTTTTCTTGTAACAGCCCCTTGTTCAGGAGTATTTTCATTGGAAAATTGCATCAACTCAGAAGAGACAGAATCATTAAGCATTCCGTTTCTATGGGAATGAGGGTTTAAGTCACTTTACCAGGCAAAGGACTCCATTCTACTGTGGTACAGGCAGAGGGTAAGGGAAAAATAAAGCGGTGGTGGAAGAAAGAATCCACACTTGTTAACTTGGGTCTTTCGAATTGCTATAAAAGCAGGAGCTGTAGCAGATAGGATTTCTGTTCATTGTTTGTCTTCTCCCCTCCTTTCCTCCCTTTTATTTGAAGAGTACTTGTGGTGGCTAATATTTTTGTTTTCAGGTGGGAATATGACCACAATGACATCATCCTATAATGATATGGTAGCTGATGAGATTCTATATGTTTCCTAGGCTGCCAATACACATTTTTCACCTGGATAAAGATAAGAGTGGATGCTGAAGACACAAGGGATGCAAGGTGTCCATCTGGCCCTCCAGATCCATATTCTGTACTTTTCCACTCTACTTGGTGCCCAAAGAGGCTGACGTATATGGATTGGTTCATATACATGCAAGCTCCCTGGCTTTTGATTGTATTTGGCTAATGGAAGAAGTACCGGGAGATCGAAGGGTGGGCTGGGGGGTGGGGAGGATAAGGTCAGAGTATCTAATCCCTTGGAGCTCTCCTGCCAGGCTGCCATGCTGGTTGGCTATGTACTTCTACCAAAAGCCTCAGCTCTTGCAGACAGCCCTTCTCCATATAGATATCTTTGTTAGTTCTGAAAACCACTCTCAACCCTTACTTCAACAGCCAGCTAGCTGTTGTTAGTCTCAGGGAATTGCACTATTTCTTGTTGGTTTCCTTGAGCTCTTTCCACACCTGTTATGGTTTGAATGTTTGTGTTCCCTCCAAGATTCATGTTGAAACTTTATCTCCAATGCAATAGTATTAAGATGTGGGACCTTTAGGAGGTGATTAAGTCATGAGGGGTTCTCCCTCCTGAATGGGATTCAGACCCTTTTAAAAGAAACTCCACACAGCGTTAGGCCCTTTTTTTTCCATTCCACCTTCACCCTGTGAGGACACAGCATTCGTCTTCTCTGGAGAATGAACAACAAGGCGCCATCTTGGAAGCAGAGAGAGAGCCAGCCCTCACCAAACACCAAACCTGCTGGCACCCTGATCTTGGACTTCCCAGCCTCCAGAACTGTGAGAAATAAATGTCTGTTCTTTATAAATTATCTGGTCTGTGGTATTTTGTTATAGCAGCACACACTAACACAATGCCTTAAGAAAATCAATCTATTATTAAACTCTTATCCATTCCCCAGTTTGAACGTAGCATACATTTTCTACTGGGACTCTGCCCTATTTACTCTTCTTCCCCCTTCCATTTCCCGCCCCTCCCCAACTCCCACCCAGCAGCAGGATGGAGTCTGGGAATTTAGGTGAAATCATTTATGGACAATAAATAAAACCAATTTTGGGTGTGTCTGAGTCGTGTGTAAATTTTTGATCCTGTAACAAAACAAACTTGGAAACAACAGTATTTTGATTTCTAAAATTTAAATACTGTTTAATATTTTGTTTTCCTGTTTCTCCAACAGTTTTCTCCACAAAGAAGTAGAGGTGCTGAGGCCAATGTGCACTATCGCCTACAGGAGCCTAAAATTCCCTTCTGCCCCTCAGTCCCAGGAGTGCCCTTGCTCCTTTCTGTGTTTGCTCTTCCCTCTCTGCAGCATCCAAGGGCATTCATAGGAATCTTTGTTTAATTTGGGCTACTATGCAAGCTACAGGATGAGAGATTCTTTCACTGGAATAATTCTGACTCCTCTTAACCTTGCATTTTGGCTGATTCTGTTGTGTGTGGCCCATCTTCCTCCTCTTTTCTTGTTACAGCTACTAAAAATATTCAGGGTGACCCAACGTGTTTCTATTAGTCACAGTCCCTTCATTGTTTCTATGGGGCTTAACCATCTGGGTTCATTCTCTGCATCTTGAATCTTATGTTAGCCATGTGTGTGCAGTTTAATCTCTATAGCACCTAGAAATTGACCAGCTGAGTCCTTACCAGTAGGCACTGTTTCTTTTTGAAATTCACAGGCTGTGAGGTGCTTTTGTGAGCTGTTCTTTCATCTGTGACATTTTCATCTTGCCATCGCCACAGATGCTATTTTTAAGCACAGTAACTGCCCAGGAATTTTAGAACTCTTACATTGCTGCTTGTCTCAGTGAAAGCCTTAGAAATTTCAATTCAATTTAGTTCCTAAACGATTTTTTAGATCATAGGATATACAAGATCCTGTGGGATGGGCTTTGAAAACACAAGGTCAGATTTTATTTGGATGCTGCCCTGAAGGAGTCTGCAGTTGTCTTGCGAGGAAGACAGGCATGCAACAGCCTAGGGCACAAGTGGACTGACATGTGCTACCAGTGAGGCACCAACAAGATGACAATCATCATTGGGAAGGCACCGAAGGTTGCATTTAAGCTGATCTTTTGGAGGACAAGAAGGATTTAAATGGGTTCAAATGACAACACTGTGAAATTTCCCTTTTTTCTTCCCCTTTGCAATCCAGCCGTAGTTAATTGCTCCATCTTCAGGGCTCTCAAGGTATAATTTACATCTCTCTTAGCATTTATCACACTGTAGTTTAATCCCTTGTTATGTGTCTATCTTGAGAATTTTTAAGGACAGAAACTGTTGCCTACATTTAAGCCCCTATACCCTGAAAATGCCTGGCACTTTATAGGTGCTCAGTAAATGCTTGAGATGGATACACAAAGGATTGAATGGCTTTCTGGACCCAAGGACCCAGATGAGCAAAGAGTTGGGGATGTGAAAGTGGATAGAGTGCTCAGGCGAGGGCCACAAGTCCGTGTGGCTAGAGCACAGCTTGTGTGGGCAATGCAGTGGGAAACGGCCAGTAGCTGGTAACATTAATTCTCTTCAGTTTTCTATTTCTAGTCCCTGGAAACGCAGTTCTTGATGGGACTTATGCAAAGGGAGCTTGGTGGACTAACAGGATTTGGGCTCATACCGGGCCTCAGCCCCTAACCTGCTACAGGCTGATATGACAATTCCATCAACGCTGTGTACTTTCACTTTCTCTTTGGTGAGTTTAGGCAGCTGATACTCATGAAAACTTCCCACCACCAGGTGCTCACAGGAATGATACGAAAGCTGGTGCCACTGATGGTGTGGAGTAAAATCCATTCAAAAAACTAAATACACAGCAATTAAGTTGTTTCTGACACAGCCAGACAAGAGGTGTTCCCTCAAAGGGAACACTCAAACTGTAGGAGACCCAACTACAGCCTAGTTGGATTGCTTTTATTGATAATTGCTGACATGTGAAGGCTGCTAGGAACCCTGCGGTTTAAAGCCATGGTTGAATCATCTTGAGCTTTCTTCCCATGGTTTTGCCAAACTCTCCAGGCTTTCATCTTCAGAAGGTTGTTCCAATGGGGCTTGTCTACAGAGTGCATGTGATCTGCTCTTCACTGCCCCAGAACCTTTGCATGGAAAATTCCTTGTCCTTAAAATGAGAAGTACACCTATCCTCATGGAGAAATTAAATCACTTCCATCTTGGCTGGAAGAATAATTGTTTAAATTGAATTTTAATGATACTCAGAAATGAAAAATAAGGTGCACCGCGACCAAGCTCCTCTCCCTCTCCCCAGGCGGGGAGCCCAGGGAGATGCTGATTTGCCCTCCCTCCAAATGGACCTGCCCTATAGGCAGAAATCCCCTCATAATCTGTTTGGTCAAATATGTCTCATATGTTCATTCTGATCATTGGCTTAGATTAGGAATGGACAAGATTTTTGTTTGTTAAAGGAAAAATAGTAAATATTTTAGGCTTTGTGGGCCACATATGGTCTTTGTTGTATATTTCTTCTTCTTCCCCTCCTTGTCTTTCTCTTCTTCCTCCTTCTCCTCCTCTTCTTTTCCCCTACTCCTTCTCCTCCCGCCTTATCTTCCTTCCTCCTTCTCCTTCTTCTCAGCCCCTTAAAAGTGTAAATACCCTTCTTAGCTCATAAGCCTTACAAAAACCAGCTACAGGCCAGATTTGCGTCATGATTTGCTGACTTTGGGCTTAGATCATCCACAGTTCATCTCCTGGCACTACACACACTGACACCCAAACAAAATTCCATGATTAAGATTAAAAGACATTGGTTTTGTGGGCAACTATTAAGATCTGTTATGAGGGCAACTATTAAGATCTGTTATGAGTGGCAGATGGCAGATAAATTCAGCACTGGGTGTGACCCAGAGTTAACAAAAATTGCATTAAATTTCCATATCAACCACAGTTGTTATTGCAGAACAATAAAATAAAATCGTGACTATCGTAGCATTTTATCTTGTTAGCCATTTTATAAATAGGGCGTGTTAGGTTTACAGCAAAACTGAACAGAAGGTACAGAGATTTCCCATAAACACCCTCTGTCCCATGGATGCATAGACTACCCCATGATCAGCATCTCCCACCAGAGTGATATGTTTGTTATATTGATGAACCTACCTTGCTGTTAGCCATTTTTGATAACAATAAGTTTTTTTTTATTACAATAGACAATAAATCTCTGTATCATCATGGGAACCATCTCAGATTCTCTTGGTCTGTCTTGCTCCACTGCTGCCACTGCAGTGATCATCTCTGGCTCTTTCTTCCACTCTGGACTCAGATAAAGTGCCATGGAATAGGTTGTGGAATTTACCTTCCCCTTGGCTGCTAAAGAGAGCAGGTACCATCCAGAGGTTGAAGAAGTTAACTCCTCCTAGAGCAGGCGAGGAAGCTGGCATCTAACTTTCATTCCCCTCTCTCCTTCCCCTGGTCTGACCCAAGGCATGCTTCTGCATAGCCTTTGTGGAGACATCCTACATGGCCAAGAGGCTGGCTGTCTCTCTTCATAAAGCACTGGCTAGATCACTTATGCATTGCCATGAACTTGCTCCCCATCCTGGTTGACCTAATTTCTTTTTTCCATCACTCTCACTCTTCCCTAATAGAGCTTCAGCACAGAAACTTATCCTCATGCTCTATCTTCTGGGGAACCTGGGCTGAGCCAATTTCCTATGTGAATCTAAGCTCCATAACGGTAAGAGTTTGTAGGGGGGGCAAGGGATGGGGGTAAGGGGCATAGACAAGATATCTCTTGGCACCTAGTAGAGGCTCAACACATAATTTTTATTTTGCATTTTGAAAGAATTAATAAATGCATTGATTCAGGGCACAACCCATGGAAGACATGAGCACTGACAAGTTTGCTAGAAGAACTGGACACCTCTTATTAGTGGATTCCCACCATCAGAGAGCACCTAGGCCTGTAATACAAAGAAACACAGACATATTTAACTGCAGTAAAGGGAACAGATGGTGTGTAGGAAGTTATGAGAGAAAAGATGCAGAGAGAGAGAGAGAAGAAAAGTCATCGGCATCAGCCAACACAGGGCTGCACTAGAGGCTCCTATCTAACCCAGACACTCAGCTCATCTGCCCTCCTACCCTCTGCTTTGGTTTGAAATGCAGAGGAGAGACAGGAAACAATGATGAAGGCAGGGGAGGGGATGCCCACTGTGGGTTCTGTAGATGTCTAAGGCAAAATTAGGAGATAAAGAACTATTTGTGGCTGCCCAATCTCAGAAGAGGATCAAGAAGAAGCTTCCAGAGAAGCCCTCCGAAAGCAGAGCTCATCATTTTATGCCAAATGTCCCCACATTTCTTCTTCCTCCTCCTCATGGCCCAAATAGCCCTATAGTCTATTTTGTCCCACAGGGCATTCTGTGGTGATGGTAGGGAGGTGTCTCCGGTAACCCGATGGTATTTATTGGGCACATACCATGGACCAGTCACTGTTTGGAACTGAGGTAACAGCAACGAACAAGCAGACAAAAATCCTTGCTCCGATAGAGCTTAGATTTTAGCAAAGGGAGATAAATAGCAAACAAAATGCACAAATGAAATATATCATATGTTAGATAATGATAACGGCTTTGGAGAAAATAAAACAAAAAAAAGAGATAGAGGGAGTGGGAGTCGGGTGAATCCTAATTAGGGCATTGTATTCGTTTGCTAGGGCTGCCACCACAAAGCCCCACACACTGGGTGGCTTAAATAACAGAAAGCTATCCTCTCACAGTTCTGGAGGCTACAAGTCTGACATCACAATGTCGGCAGGGTTGGTTCCTGCTGAGTCCTCTCTCCTTGGCTTGTAGATGGCCCCTCCTTGTGTCTTCAGTTGGTCTTCCCTCTCTACCTGTGCCCTCATCTCCTCTTCTAATAAGGACTCCCGTCATACTGCATTAGGGCACAACCTAGTGACCTCATTTTTAACTTTATCACCTCTTTAAAGATCCTATCTTCAAATCTAGTCACAGTCACATTCTGAGAAGCCGAGGGTTAGGACCTTAACATAAGAATTTGAGGGCATGGAGGACGACACATGCGCCCCATGCCTCCTTTGGCCTATAATAGGCATCCAGGAAAAGCACTGCTGGGAAGGTGATATTTCAGCAAGGACTTGAAAGAGTTGAAAGGGCTTGCTAACTATACAGAAAAGCATTTCAGACAGAGGGAACAGCAAGTGCAAACGCTCTGAGACACAGGCCTGCTCCATGGGCCTCACAAGAGTGAGGAGCCTATTGTGCTGGACTAGGTGAGCCAGGAGGAGGAATAGGAATAGAGGTTGGGGGGCAGGGAGGGTTAGGGGTAAGGAGCATAGGCAAGATAGGATAGGTCCTTAGGCCGCAGAAAGGATATTGGCTTTTACTCTGGGTTGGAGGGGGATCCTTAAGGGAGAAATCGCATTCCTGGTGCCCTGAAAGTTCAGGCTCAAATTCATTGCTCAGCCCAAGCAGAGTCTATCACATGCTCACGTTGACTGCCTCAGGGACACGGGTCAAAGAGCTGAAGCAACAATTAATGTGTTTTGACAGAAAAGATACATCTATTTCTAGAGCTCTCACAATTGTGACTTCTAAACATCACCTCAATTCTTGATGTTATTACTGTGAACCTTCTTGTTGATGTACTTAGAAAATGAAATGGAAAGGTTATTTTGATGTCACCTGTGCTTTGATAAAACTTGGGAGGCTTTGTGCACTGTGCGTTCTTTTCTCCTTTTTCTTTTGCTGGGCTAAGAGTGAAGATGAAAACAGCAGGGAAGCTATTTTCCATCACCTTTGGTGTGAGCGATGATGGGCAATCTGCTGACTTATTTTTGAAATATAGTTAGGGTACCATATTCTTTGCAGATCATGTAGATGGTGTACTATTCATTGTCAGAGAACGAGTAGCCAATATGTATAATGCCAGTTTGTCAAATCTGAAAATGCTAAAATAACCCCAAACCTATAAAGCTATGAAGAGTATTGATATATTGCAATAATAGCTATTTGAGCATACAAAATTTTCCTCAAAGGTAGGTTTATTCTCACACTGCCTATAAGGATATTTTGGAATGATACATATGTAATGTTTACTTATTAATCCAGAGGCAAGATGGTACTGTGGGAATACCGTTGGGTTTGTTGTTCAAAGACATGGGTCAAGGCCCAGGTTTGTTACCTCCTGGCTTTGTGCCTTCAGGCAGGTCACACAACCTCTGTCAGTATCGGCTTTCCCACCTGTAAACTGGAGAAAACAAGATCCCCTCTACTTCTTATAGCAGGATTGGGAAGATCAAGTAAAGAGGTGGCTTTGGGAAGTACTATTTACAATTAGATATTGTTATAATATATATGCAAGAGCTTTAAAATACCATAAACATTTAAGTTTTACTATTCCTTAGGTATTTCCTATTTTCATTTCTTCCTTTTTTCTTAGGTTACTGTCCCATCTCTTATTTTCTGTAGTGCCTACCACAGCTTCAGACATTCCTTGGGAACTGCTCTAATGTGGTGGGAGGCTGCACAGACAGTGGGAAACACGTGGGCTTTGGAGTTTCATGAACATGGATTGGAATCCTCTGCCACTTTTGAGCTGTGTGCCACTGGGCGTGTGATGAGACTTCCCTGCAGCTCAGATTCTTCCTCTAAAATGGAGCAATGCCAGCTGCTTTAAGAACTAACAACATTCTCAAACGTAATAGGAAATCTTTGGTTGTGCCTGTATTTTAGGAAACAAAAATTGTCTCCCCCCAACTGCCTGTGGAATATTAAGTCATCACTCATGACATTCAAGGTGTCTCTTAATTCCACTAATTTCTGGTTCAACAAACAAGTGACTAGTTCATGATTTCACCTCTTAAAAAAGCATTTAAATGGATCTAAATATGTTTTAAAAGCTGGATGAGGTATGAGTCTCTGCTTCTTAAGCATGTTTTTCTAGAGCTACTAAAAAGCTTACATTAACAGTATAGTTGAAAAAGTATTCTTCTGGATTATAGAAGAAGGGAAGTACCAGATAAGACTTGGTAGAGATATGACTCAGGTGTAGCTTCTCTCTCTACTGCTGCATCTGTGGTGAGGCTCTTCTTTTCTTTTGTTTTTTTGCTTTCTTGCTTTCTTGCTTTCTTGCTCTCTCTTTCCTTCCTTCTTCCCTCCCTCCTTCCCTTCCTCCTCTCCTCCTCCTTTTTTTAACAGTTGAGATGAAATTCACCTAACATAAAATTAACCATTTAAAAGCGAACAATTCATTGGTATTTAGTACGTTCATAATGTTGTGCAACCATCACCTTTATCTAGTTCCAAAATATTTTCATTACCCTCAAAGAAAACCCCATACCATTAAGCAGTTACTCCCCATTCTGCACTCCTCCCAGCCCTGGGCAACCAACTTTCTGTTACCTGTCTCTGTGTACTCATTTATTCTGGATATTTCATATAAGTGGAATCACACAATATGTGACCTGTTGAGGCTAGTGTTCTTCACTTAGTATAGTGTTTTCAGGATTATCCATGTTATAGCCTGTATCAGTACTTCATTTAAAAAATGTTTGAATAATCTTCATATATATATTATATATACCACAACTGGTTTATCCATCCATTCATTAATGGACGTTTGAGTCTTATTTTCTTTTTTAAAGAATATAAGTCAAATGATAGAACTCCTCTACTCAAAATTCCCATATAACATGAGTAGAAGCTAAAGTCCTATCAACAGCCTAAAAGGCTCTGCATGATCTTCATCCGTTTCTTCCCTGGCCTGACATCCTCCCCGTCCTCCTCCGTTGCTCTAGAACAATCCACACAACCTTTCTAGCTACAGTGAACCTGCTAAGCATGCTGTTTCTCTTAGCCTATTGCAGTGACAGTTGCTTTTGGCTGAAACAGGTAACTCCATTGCTCACTCCCTTACTCCATTCGTGATGTTACTTAAATGTTCCCTTTGCATTGAGGCCTTGTATGACCATCTATTTACAATCATCTCCTATCTCAGCACCTCCACCTCTCTTACTCTAGTCTATCTTTCTCAAAACATGTAGTATTTTCCAACAGTCTATATCGTACTTAAGGGATATAACTTACATCTATTATGTTTATTTATTGTCTGTCTGTTCCCCCACCCCACTAGAACATTTTATGAAATTAAGAATTTTGTGTGTTTTGTTTATTAATGCATCTGTGGCCCTAGTGCAGCCTGGAAGGTAATGAATACTCAATAAGTATTTGATGAATGGCTGTGTTAATGATGACATGTGCAAACCTGCAGAGTACAAGTCAGCTAGCCAAGGGCCAGGACACACAGGTGGAGGCTCTCAGGGAATGTTCATGTGCTCCTCCCCATCATACCCTTCTGCTTATCCAGCTTCCACGTCTCCTTTCCTTCCTCTCCAGTCCATTTACAACACTCCTCATTCCTTCTCTAACCTGTTCTCATCACGATGGTAAACAGGTTTACCATTCTGTTGGTTACCAGGCTTACCATTGTCCAATGTAGTGGGGCCTATCTTTTCTGGAGAGGCAAAACCACAGTATCTTTGCATCAAACATATTTATCTATCTATCACTGTTTCTTATCTACATCCTCTGGCTCTATTCTGGAAAAAATATATTGAATTTCAGTTTTTATAGTATGATTATATAAACATAGATCCATGTACTTCTTATGCACAGCTGCATTGATTTTAGGATTTAGGATCCTAAGAAATTATGCCAATCACTGAGATCATTAAATAACATATTTCAACCAATGTAAGATGTTGTACACTGGAAATTGCACCACTACTTTGTTTACCACTAATAAAGGAAAAAGTGCTACTAATTAAACTATGATGCATTTCTTTCTTAAGATTTAGCACTTGATTTTTGCTTTTCAAATAAATATGTAATTTTGGTCATTTCTCCAAAAACAAATATTTACTTTTCTAATATCAAATTTGTGCCCCACTGCTGTTCTGTGTCTTTCTATGAACATATTAACATTTGTTTTAATGCGGAATCATAATCTTTCTGAAGACCTTTTAAGTAGCAATTAAACACCTGTAGTAACAACCATGCACACAGTTCAAGTGAAGTGATGTCATCATTAGTGGTTGTGACCAAGTTCAGGACTGCGCAGGTGGGGATAACTGTGGATTACAATGCACACTGTCATTTAAGAGACATTAAAATGTAAAAAAAAAAAAAAAAAAGGTGTGTTTCAGTGTCAACCAAATAGGTTAGTAACAACAATTAGTTGTTGTTTTTTCCCCATAGGAGGAAAGCAGATAAAAAGCGGTGTCACTGAAGACTCGAAGTGAGCTAAGATTCTGCACAGGAGTTGGTGAGCTGAGTTTGCTCATGGGCTACACTGGGCCATCAGAGAGGGCAGCTGGCATTCTTTTGGGTGGGAGAGGACTTAAACTTTAAGGAAAATGACCGCCATGCTGGCTTTTGGAAATTGGGGCAGTCAATTATATTTTTGGCAGATCAATTGTTTGAATATTCTCCTGTACATTACACAAGAGTGGCCTCCCTAAAATATCCTCTTAATGGTCCAAGTTCACCCTCTGGATGTGTGTGGGATTAACTCAATTCCTTATGCCTATGTATTTTTTTGGACATATTGTCAGATTTTTGCATTTCCTTCACTTTTCTCACTTTCTTCAACCATTTCTGAAGGCTCCTGAAGGCTCATGATAAACTTTAACATTATTCAGAGTATTACACATGCATTTCTTATTTATTATTTCATAAATAATAAATCAGTAGCTACCACTTCCAGAGTGCCTCTACAGCTGTCATTGTGCTAGACATTCTATTTAGATTACGGTATTTTTGCTCACGACAACCCTCTGTAGTTAGGTGTGATTATTGTTCCATTTTAATGATGACAAAAACGGAAGCCCAGAGAGGACTAATAACTTCCCCAAGGCCATACAGAATCAGAGTGAATCAGAGTTTTGAAACCCAATCTCTTTGTAATTAATACCAACTTTTATACTTTCTGTGTAAGTTACTTATGAAAGTGGTTGGGCGCGGTGGCTCATGCCTGTAATCCCGGCACTTTGGGAGGCCAAGGCGGGTGGATCACGAGGTCAGGAGATCGAGACCATCCTGGCCAACACGGTGAAACCCCATCTCTATTAAAATGCAAAAAATTAGCTGGGCATCAGGGTGCGTGCCTGTAGTCCCAGCTACTCTGGAGGCTGAGGCAGGAGAATCACTTGAACCTGGGAGGCAGATACTGCAGTGAGCTGAGATGGTGCCACTGCACTCCAGCCTGGTGACAGAGCGAGACTCCGTGTCAAAAAAAAAAAAAAAAAAAGATACTCATGAAAGCGATATAATAAATATACATTCAGTGAAGCAGAGAATTATCTTTTCAGTTGGTGCTCCTACAGTATTATGCATTTATTCTAATGGCTCTTCTGTTATTTAGGACACTTTGGGGGCTCCTCTTTGGAACTGTGTTCAGGGCCCATGTTTTGAACGTCCTTTTTAGTGGCCACTATTTACTCTTTGAGATCAGATCTTCCTGCTTATCAAAGGACCCTAATGAGGCAGGTTTGCTGACTAAGATGGAGGATGACTGTGATCCAGTGGGTGATATGGTCATTCATACAGAAATGGCCACAGTTTTCTTGAGTTGGCTGCAAACCAAAGCAGAGGCATTCTAGGACTATATATGGATTTTCCTTGTGTGATGATGATTTGAGGGATGTAAGGTATTTATGGAAATGTAACTACCAGAAGTTAAAAAATAGCCAGAACCCACATCAACTTAATTTATCAATATTAGCCACTTGAGTTATCAATATTAGCCACAAGTTTTGTTGGTACACACCAGGGATCTGAAATTGGCTGCTCACGGCAGTATATGGCTCTGGGAGGTGTTTTGTGTCATCCTTTTATTGCACTCTGTGTTTATAGCACAGTGTGTTAACAGGCTATGTGATTAGACAGACTTTAAGACTGGTGACCATATAAGCATATTAGCCGCAATTATCTGGTATCTACCCACCCAGTGTGTTTGTATTAATCCTCGCCCTCTAAGGGCATTTGAGCTTTTGATCCCTCCAAGTTCACACTGTTTCTTTCCAAAGGAACTTATAATACTAGGCATTCCTCTGCTCAAATAAATAAATAAATAAATAAATAAATCCCTTTGTGTATTTCATGTCCTAGTTCAAACATCCTTTCAGCCACTCCCAACTGAAACGACTTCTTTCTTTTTCTGAATTTCATAAAATTTCAGTGAACTTCACTCAGCACTCCCAGTCAGCTGACTTCTGCTATAGTTTTTTTGTGAATAGTTCTCATCTCAATTGATAGGGTGTGTCGTTACCAGTGATCTTGCTCCTGGGGAAATAAGGCTTGGATTCTTCCAAGAGATCCACTCATGTTTTGAAACAGCAGACATCAGTCCAAGCATTTTTCTTATTTTCCCTTTTTCTTCTTGGTTGTTTTTTTTTTGTTTTTTTTTTGTTTTTTTTTTGTTTTTTTGACAGCCCTGCTTGCTTTCATTTGGAATTTAGTCTTGGGTTCTGATGCTTGTTATTGACTGACTAGTTTTGATGACTCTCTTAACTCACAACCAGATTTCTAGTGTTGACTTATCCCTGATACACATTAACTCTATTCATTCTAGGCTTTAGTGACCTATCTCTGCTTCTCAGAATATGACTCTGGGCTGCCCTCTTCTTATATTGGGGCTGCTACCCAGAATGAGCCATATTTACTGTCTAGGAAGAACTGGGACAGAAATGAGGATGGGAGTTTATGGAGAATCCTCCTTGGTGGCTCCCTCATACCTAGCACTGGTTTTTGTGTAGGCAAGTCTTTAATAAAAATGTGTGAATGGAAGAAATTTAAAAAATAAAGCAGTTATGGTAGCACGTCATGATGTGACAAAAGTATTTACTCAATTAATAATGGATGCACTTCTTTAGATGAGGTGCCATGGTAGATGCTGTATTCAAAGGTGAAAATATACGGTCTCTTTCTTCAAGGAATTTGCACTCTCCTGGAAGTTGGGAGTTATAAGGAAAGTCTGAGTGGTAAATTTGGACAGAGATGACAGAGAACTTATTACATTGTGGACCTTAGTCCCAGGTCCAGTTCCAAACATATCTTGAATATGTTAAGGGGAGTTACTGTTTCTGCACTGGAAATGTTCTCGCTGCTATCTGCAGAATAATGGCCTCTGGGGGAAGCTGGGTGAAGGATGTGGCAAGCAATAAACACAAGACCCATTTGAATCGTGAGCAGATTTCCTGGGGCTGCCCATTTCTACCCCCTTGTTAAATTTTTTCTGGGATTCTGGTTAGAAAAGGAGATTTTTCACATGGGGTTTAAAAAATTATGACACAGCCCCCTGGAAATCATCCTGTTTTTATTGGCATGCCTTTTAAAATAATGCAAGCTGCTGTGATAGGCAACTGAAATTCTGAATTCTTTTGGAAATGAGAACGCAATCTTACCAGTAAGGCTGAGCTTTTAAATAATGTCAGTTGATGGTGTGATCAGCGTTTTTTGACTATGAAGCAAGCTCTTAAAAAAATAGAACAACCAAAGTGATCTTCCTCTATATAAACTGTAAATTATCTTTCACAGCACCTCATTGGACTGGTGGCTTTGAGGGCTACATTAAGTAGGTTATCCTCTCATCTAACCGGCATTAGTATCTCTTGGGCTGCTGTGAGTGACACACGCTGAGTGGGGTGAAGGGAAATGCTGGTGAATTTCATTTTGAGGTGTGGGTTGCTGTTAGTCACTCTGTCTCTTGCCATTGCCAAGCACAAGCAATCTTCCTTCACCAAAAGTTGTTACCCAAGGGGAACATTGTCCCAAGCTGTTGACGCTCTCTATATCAAAGCAGCATGGCTCAAAGCAACGATTCCAGTAAGTATTAGGCTCTGCTTAAAATCATGACCTCAAGGACATTTACAATCTTGGATACAACTTATTTCTCTTTGTATTATTGTAGGAAGACCGCATAAAAAATATACGATTATTAAAAAAGAAAACAAAAAAGCAGTTTATGGTAAGTCAGAAAGTCTTCTTCTTTTTTACATTTCCACTTATTTGATGTTTATTTCCCCCTGCATTTAAATTTTTTTCAGAGAGTAATTAAGTAATGATCGGGGGACATTAAAAAACGATTCATAATTTACCATATGCAATTTCTTGTATCTTATTTTTAGAAAAACTGTCAATTTCAAGAACAGCTTCTGTCCTTCTTCATGGAAGACGTTTTTGGTCAACTGCAATTGCAAGGCTGCAAGAAAATACGCTTTGTGGAGGACTTTCATAGCCTTAGGCAGAAATTGAGCCACTGTGTAAGTATACACAACAAATACTGTGCATTTGATCCTAGAAACCTGTTTAGAAGTCAGCATGTAAGAATCTGTCTCACACCAAAGGGTGAGTAAAACGAGCTTTGTAATTGTTGGCTTGTAGTCCAAATGGAGAGGTCATCACCAGGGAAATAGCATTAAATAACTGTACATTACTCAGAATGCTGCTATTTATTATTTCTTAAAGAATGGCTCATAAAACACACTGAAGAGAGCTAAAGTAACATGACATGGTTTTCAAATAAATACTTTAAAATCATTCTCTCATTATGTGATTCCCAAGTAATCCATTCATCCATTTAATATTTCTTGAGTACCAACTTTGTGCCAAACACTATTCTAAGTCTCTCTTTCTCTCCCTTCCTCCCTCTCTCCCTCTCTCCCTTCTTCCCTCCCTCCCTCCCTTCCTTCCCTCTCCCTCCCTCCCTCTCCCCTTTCTCTTCCTCCACCCTCCTTCCCTCCCTCTCTCTTTCTTTCTTTTCCTTCCTTCCTTCTTTCTTTACTTCCTTTTCTTTCTTTCTCTCTCTCTTTCCTTCCTTCCTTCTTTCCCATAACAATAATAACTAACTGATGCCCTTTTTCTTATTTACTTATGTTTTTAAAAAAATATTTGTGCCCCTTTTAAGGCATAATCTCAGTAAAAAACTTAAAAAGGGATAGACATGCCTTCTTTGGTACCTAAATTATTTGATGCCTCAGTATGGTCACTGTCATAGCAAGCAGTGGAGAATTAATTAAGAAGGTAAAAGTGATCACATTTCTATGAAAAATTCCACAGCAATAAAGACCAGTGCAGAAAACAAAACAAAACAAAACAAAACAAAACAAAACAAAACAAAACAAAAACACTGAGCCAGAATCTGTGCAATGTTAGTCGAGTTGCCTCTGTGGGGAATATTGAAGCTTTTCTGTGCCCTTGGTTGGGGTCCAAGTATGCTTTCTCCAGCCTCCTGCAGTTGTAGCTTGCAGATGGTACAAAGGTTGGGTTGGGAGCCTTATTGCAATCCTTGGGAAGCCAGTTGGAAAGGAGCTCTTCATCCTGGGCATCATGGTCACTGAGACTTAAACACTGGGCCATTAGAGGGGGGGGGTGTTTATTTTTTAAGAGTTAAGATGTTTTTTTCTTGTGGTCAACTAAAGTGCTCCGTAACCCAAATTTCAGCCCAGAGTACATGAGGCATTTTATGAGTGTGAGTAGATCGGCTAGGTTAAAAAGAAAAAAACAAGCAAAAAAAAAAAAAAAAAACCACCAAATTTAAGTTCTCTATTTCTTTGCTTAGTTTGTGTTTGTTATACCCTTACTTAGGTTTGGATTGCATGTTTTTTTATAAACTCTCATATTTTATTAAAATTACAACACTGATAAAAAGAAATTACAAATTGATACCTCTTTGCAAAACACAGGGAGAATTCTCTGGGCCAGTTCTGGTGCCTGAAATTTTGTTCTATGCTTAAACCTATAAGACAACCTTATGAAGAAAGTACATGTGTAACTATAAATAGTCTCTTAAATTTAAGTTGCATTGTTAAATCCTTGCCTGATACAGTACAGAGTGTCTGGTCAGAACCCCCAAATCCATGTCAGGTTTTCATTACTAATTTGGTTTTGTTGACCCAAATAGCTAGAGAACACATAGCGACAGTTATAACCTAAAACGAACAATATTCTAGATGAAAAGCTTAGGAAACCTGGATATGTCTAGGAACTCTGGTTTTTCTTGGTTTGTTTCTGGTGAAGTTTTCCTAAAGTGGGTGGGACAGTGTGGCGCCGCTCTGGTTGGTTGTTGCTGCTTCCCAAAGGGTCTGGCTCCCTCCTGTGGCCAAATACGAACACATCATCTCATCAATCTCGCTAGGCAACACGTAACTCCGCGCTTTCCTTCTTCCCTGCTCCCACCTCAAGCCTATCAGTGTGAGCATCAGTTGTCTTACAAGCTGTGCAGTTTATGCCCTGGGGTAAAGCAAGCTCCCCCGTGAAACATAAAGCGGCAGGATTGGCCTGAGCGTTAGAAAGACTGCAGACATTGATTTAGGGAAAAGGTAACTGGCCTGGTGTCTATAATGTTTCAGCCAAACATAATTTTATATTTCTGGCAGCAGAAACTGGTATCTGTCTGTTTAATACAAATTAACTGAGCACCTACTCTATGAATCTCTGAATCAGTGGTTGGGAGAGGGCTTAGCAGACAGAAGTTATAAAACATGAAGTAAACAACATTAATTTAAATATGATATTTTGTTAATAAAAACGGACACTAAATGTAATCAATGTATAAATGGTCAACCTATTGAAACTAATTATACTTGCCGTATTTCCCCTGCCGTCCGTACTATTGAGGTTGTTGTGGGAAAAATAAGTAAAACAAAGCTCTGGGGATTCAGAGCAGTAGTGATCAAGTCACAATTGGTCAAGTCCCTTCTTGAAAGGGGGGACTGTGAGAGGGGGCCTTCCGTTCTGCACGCTCTGAGCTTTAGAAAGCTTTCCGCAGAACCTTGACATATTTTAAAACTGATCCAAGGCTTCTTCCACGATCGGGAGACAGAAGGAAATGGCCCATTCTGTTTCCTGGAGGCGGTACTCTGGGATAATGCTTAGGTTAGTATGATGCTATAGGCTAAACAGGATTCTGAGGGGTTGATTGAGCAATGAATGCTGCATTGGTAGTGCTGCTGCAGAGTTAAATGCTGTCTGTGTTCTGAACAGCTGATTTACACAGAATTTTGGCACACAGCCTACTTGCTTAATGTGTGCACTTAATATTTGAAATTATGCCAACAATAAAACATTGGTTTGTGTTCTTCTGAAAGTTTCCTCTGCCCCAAACCTTGGGAATAATTTTAAAAAAGCAAAACATATGATATTGATTGCTTTAAATCATTTGAAGAATCCAGTAATTATGTATTTTGTATCTTAATACATTAAAGGTAATAGTAAGGATTACTACAGCTCTTTATAAATTGTTAGCTTGTGCATGGGATTTTTAAATGCTCTTATCAGTGTACCTGTTTTATTTCTGTTGACAATTTTTAATGGATACCAGAGTTATTAAAAGATGCTTACTCTGCTAAAGTTGCAAAGACATTTTAATTTGTGATGGTAACTTTTTTTCAGATAATTATATTTTACCAAATAGGGTATGACTCTGGTTGGATTTGTTGATTACATGCTGAATTAGGTGAAAATTTTCACATATCAAGAGCAAAGTACTAAATTATTCCTTTAAAATTTACAGTAGCCTTCCCTGGTAGGTTTAATAGGAGTATTTGGGTTGGGGAAATATTGCAATTCCAATGATGGAATACTTATGTACTATATTACCAAATCTCATTACCTGGATTATATTTGAGTTATCCTTGGTGGGTGTTGTTTTGTATCACCAGAAAGAAAAACTTAAAGATGAACTCTGGTATAACCCGGAAGTAGTTACTGGATCACATGTTGTCAGCTAGAGATGATCAATATCTATTTCACTTGCAGTTCATTTGCATGGAACTTTATGATTACTGGCTGCAGATAACAGTACAACTCTTTTGACATTCATATCACCAGCCCACTATTGAACATTTCTAGGTTTTAGATAGTTCAAAATTCAGATATAAAAATAAAATGCTCATGGTGAGCAACTGGTCCTATCCACCTCCTTTCCATTTATTCTTTTTTATTCCTGTTCATAGGCAACATTGTGTCACTCATTACTATTTGATAAAGGTGATGAAATAAATAATTGCCACATTTTGAGGGTATGGATTTGCACTTGATGGATATTCGTCAAATGGCTGAGACCTCGTGCTTTCCTTCCTTTTCCTTCCTTCATTCCTTTCCTTTTCCTCCCACCCCATTCCTCCTTTCCTTTAATATACTTAAAAAACTGTCCATGTGCCTGCTCCAGAACAATTGCCAAATGATGAATTTGTCAATGACCAAGTTGTTGAATTAGTTTTTTCTTTTATTTATTTAGTTTTAGTTGACTGGCTTTGTTTTGTCTTCATAAGAAAGAAGCTTTTGTGTTGAGGACTGTTGTGTTCGTTTCTGTTCCTAATTCCCACTTCTGGAAATAAAGATCAAGTAGCAGGGAGAGGGGAGACTTGAGGGCATAAAAATCATAAGATCAGAATGTTTCTGAGCATGCAGAATTCTTATGACTATATTTAACATTAATATATTTGTATACAAGGGAGAATATATAAGAATTTGGCCAGGTACGGTAGCTTACGCCTACAATCCCAGCACTTTGGGAGGCCGAGATGGGTGGATCACCTGAGGTCAGGAGTTCGAGACCAACCTGACCAACATGGCAAAACCCCATCTCAAGAAAAAATACAAAAATTAGCCAGGCGCGGTGGCGCATGCCTGTAGTCCCAGCTACTCGGGAGACTGAGACAGGAGAATCTCTTGAACCCAGGAGGTGGAGGTTGCAGTGAGCCAAGACCGCACCACTGCACTCCAACCTGGATGACAGATATCTATGACACCTTCTTATTATCTTAGTGTCTTTTGAAGAGATTTTACATTTTATGAAGTACAATATAATAGTTTTTTCTTTAATGGACCATGTTTTGGTGTCATATTGAAGAAATCTTTATTTAACACAAAGGTCATGAAAAAATTTTACATTTAGAAGTTTCCTCATTTTAAATATCACATTTAGATCAATGCCTTTTTAACACATCTATTGACAGGATTGTATGATTTTTAATTTTTGGACAATTGAAACAATGAATTACATTGATTTTCAAAGTTAAACCAATCTTGCATTTCTGGGATGCACTCTACTTGGCAATAATATATTATTTCTTTCATACATCACTAGATTTAATTTGCTAAAATTTTGCCTAAAAATTTTGCATCTACATATGTTAGATGTTAGTCTACGGTTTTCTTGTAATATCTGTGTCACTTTGATACTAGCATAATCCTGGCCTCATAAAGTTGAAAAGGGTTTACCTTTTCAATTTTCAGAAAGTGTTAGTATAGACTTATTTTTTCTTAAATGTTTGGCAAGATTTACCAGTGAAGCCATTTTTGCTTAGAGTTTTCTTTGTGGGAAGATTTTAAACTATGTATTCTATTTTTTAGTAGATGCAAGGTTATTTTTTCAGATTATCTATTTCTTTTTGAAGGAACCTTGGTAGTTTGTGTCTTTCAGTGATTTTATTCATCTCATCAAATTCACCAAATTTATAGCCAGATAATTTTTCATGATATTTCCTTAATATGCTTTTAATATCTGCATAGTACAGGATGATGTCACTTCTCTTATTTCTGATATTGGTAATTTTTGTCTTTATTTTTTCTTTCTCATGGGTCTGGCTAAAAATTCATCAATTTTATTGATTTCTCAAAGAACCAGTTTTTAGTTTCATTGATTTTTCTTTATTACTTTTCTGTTTTTATTTCAGTGATTTTTATTCTGAACATTATTATTCATTTTCTTCTATTAAATTTATATTTAGTCTGCTCCTTCTAGTTTCTTAAGCTAGAAACTTGGGTCATTAACTTGAAATTTTTTTTTCTTTATTTGGAAGCTGAGATTATTAATTTGTGATTTTCTAACTTTTTATTATAGGAGTTTAGAACTATAAATTTCCCTCTAAGTACTTCTTTAGTTACATTTCACAATCTTTGCTATGTTGTGCTTTCATGTTTATTTGCTTTAAATTACTTGCTAATTTCCCTTTTTATTTTTTCTTTTATATATGGGTTATTAGAAGAGTGTTATTTAGTTTTTATATGTGGGAATTTTTCTAGATACTTTTCTAATTTTGATTTCTAATTTGATATCATTTTGGCCAGAGACCATACTTTGTATGACTTGAATCCCTTTATATTTGCTGATCCATGTTTCATAACCCAGAATTTGGTCTATTTTGGTAAATGTTCTATGTATATTTGAAAAGAATATGTATTCTGCCATTGTTGGGCTGAGTATTTTATACATTTCAATTAGATTTAGTTGTGACAGCTTTTTACTTTTTCTCTCTCTTTATTAACTTTTTTCTACTTGTTTTATCAATTATTGGTATCTCTGACATTAATTGTGAACTTCTGTTGCTTCTTGAAGTTCTATCAGATATTGCTTCATGTATTTTGAATTTCTGTTATTAGGTACAGAAATGTTTATGATTGTTATATTCTCTTGATGAATTGACACATTTATCATTATAAAATTACCCTTATTGTCCCTAATAATATTCTTTGTCCTGAAATCCACTTCTTTTTTGATGCTAATAGAATCACTCCAGCTTTCTTTTGATTGATGTTAGTGTGCTATGTCTTTTTCCATCCTTTTACTCATAACATATTCGTGCCTTTTATTTTTCTCATTATTACTTGTTTTAAGCAATTTGATTATGATGTGAATTGATGTAGTTTTCTTCAGGCTTCTTGTGCTTGGAGTTGATTGGGAATCTTGTATTTGTGAGTATATAGTTTTCATCAAATTTGAAATTGTTCAGCATTATTTATTCAAAAACTTTTTTCTGTATCTCCTTCTGTCTCTTCTCCTCTTGGAATGCTAATTACACATATATTAGCCCATTTGTAGTTGTCCCACAGCTCACTGATTCTGTGGGTTGTTTTTTCCCAGTCTTTTCTGTGTTTCATTGTGAATAGTTTCTATTGCTACATCTTCAAGATCACTAATCGTTTCTTTTGTAGTGCCTATCTGTTAGTCCCATTCAGAATATTTTTCACCTCATACATTGTAGTTTTTATCTCTAGAAGTTTGAATTGAGTCTTTTTAATATTTTCCATTGCTCTATTGAACATGATCAGTCTTTCTCTAACTTCTAGAACATATGGAATAGAGTTATAGCAACTTTTAAAATATCCTTATTGATTAATTGTAACATTTGTGTCCACTCTGGGTTGGTTTCAATTGATTGATTTTTTTCCCTCGTTATGGGTCATATTTTACAGCATCTTTGCACGGCTGGTAATTTTGATCAAATGTCAAATATTATGAATTTTACCTTGTTGGATCCTAGACATTTTTATATTTCTGTAAATATTCTTGAGTTTTCTTCTGGGACACAGTTAAATTAGTTGCAAACAGTTTGATCTTTTCAGATCTTGTTGTTTAAGCTTTGTTAGGCAGGACCAAAGTATTGTTTAGTCTAGTGCTGTTTTTGCCACTCATTGAAGCAACACATTTCTGTAAACTCTACCATATTTCCTATGATTTTGCTTTCCTTTCTTCTTTTCCTTCTCTTCCTCCTTTTTGAAATGTATTTGTTCAGGACATTCGGCCATTTGTCTCACAGAGTTTCTCATAGTCTGTATTTTCTGACTGCATTTTCATAGTGTCATTTAATATATTCTCCTCTTTATTTACCATACATTAACAATTATACAGAGAGACTTGATCAGATTTAGCTTGATGTTTTAGCTAGAACACTTTATAGGTAGCATTGTTTGCTTTCACTGG